>NC_000011.10:31423636-31575151 GCF_000001405.40 Homo sapiens
TTAACATTTTGTGTAACGGGTAATCATACAGTGTGTTATATTTTTTTGTCAGATACTGGTTTTTTGAAACCAGAATCCCTACAGGAACCTGGACTGTTTGTGCCCATGGTACTGAATAATCAGGTCAACATACAGATGTTTAGACAGCCACAGAATATGAAAATGTTTTAATATAATCCTTGTAACTCTGACCTTGGGCAAGGTACTAACCATTTTTGTGTATTCTCTTTTCATATTTACCATGAGATATGGTCTAACTAAGCTAATTTTTCAACCAAGAAATAGGTGGCTACTCTAAAGTTCCTCTGCATAGGGATGAAGAAAAGATAGTAATAAAACTGAAAAAGCCACTTTTTTGAGTAAGTAGAATAATAGAAAGGGTTGCACATGAAATAGTAACTATGTGAGAAGAACAATAGCTTCCCAGTAGATTGGCAGTTGTATTTGCAAGTCAGTTCTAATTTATTATTTTTAAATAAAAAATGGCATCATGGATATATATGAATGGGTTGTCTTTTTGTACAATTAGTATATTACAGGTGTTCAAGATAGATTAGATTAAGAAAGCTGATTCATCTTGTCATTATTTCTCTTGTCTGATTTGCTTTGATTGATTTCAAAATTTCTTAAAATGTCTATAAGATACCCTGGAATACAGGTGACTTTGTTAGAAATTTATTACACCTGTTTTTACCCTAAATAGGATTTGTTAAATGCCAATTATTACCCCCATTCCTCACATCTGAAACAGTGTTTAATCTCCCAATTCTAGCAAACAACCCTGGTCCTTCTGAGTAAGAAATTAAAATGTGATTAAGATTTTTGTCCCCACTCATGAAAATTTTAGAAGAATTTTTTAAAAATAGGAGTATCTGAAGAGCATATAGCCTATTGTACTTTACATAGAATGTGGAAATTAACTTGTTTTGTTCAGAAATTACTTAGCATACAGATAGATTCTGCATAAGCTATCCAGTAGACATACAGAGATGGAGGAACTATCTCTGACCACTAGGCAAAATCCTTATCTTTGGATTTTAGGGACAGTCTAATAGACTACTGGTACCCAGTAAATATGAAGTGGTATAATATCTGACATACTTTAATAGAAAACCATGGTGAGTTCACAATATTGTATAATCTTTTTATCTATTTTAAAATTATGTAACTCACTAATAAATTTTGAACAGGCAGTTACTAAATATAATTAAATTGAGGGCATTCATGTCACAGAACAAAGGGAAGCATTCTCAGCAAGTGAACAAGAGACTAGTGAGACAGCTAAAGAAAATTTTATTGGGGTGGGGAGTGGATTTTAGTAGAGTTTTTTTTTGTTTTTTTCTTTTTTCTTCTTTTTTTTATTCTAGAAGAACAATACAAGCATACAGGAAATATAACCTGCCTTTTAAAACAAAGACAAATGCTTCCCATCTTTGATTGCCATCTTTGACCCAAAGAACACTTGTTTTAAGCAAGAGAGTAGATGCTCCTGTTACAAAGCTTAGGTGGAATTCCAGGCTTCCTTGGACCTTCCATCTGCAGCAAAAACTTTGGACCAGGAAACAGCAATGGAACATCAACACAATACATTTGTGTTGTGGGGTTATTGAAATACTGAAATAAGTATTCTTTTAAGTTACTTAATCTCTTGCAAACAATCAAATGTAAAATGATTAATAGGCTTTTACATTTGGATAGAGCATTATTTTTTAAAGCACTTTTAGTCTGATCTCATTTGATATGGAGAACAGCTTTCTATTAGTCTGCCTCAGCTGCCATAACAAAATACCATAGACTAGGTGGCATAAACAAAATGTATTTCTTACAGTTCTGGAGGCTAACAAGTCCAAGATCAAGGTGCTGGTTGACTCGGTTTCTGATGAGGGCTCTTTTCCTGGCTTGCAGACAGCCTCCTTCTTGCTGTGCCTTCATATGCTCCTTCCTTTATGTGTGGGTGCGTGTGGAAAGAGATCACTCTCTAATCCCTTCCCTTTAAGGCCACCAGTCCTATTGGATTAGAACCCCACTTTTATGACTCCATTTAACGTTAATTACCTCCTAAAAGCCCTATGTCCAAGAACAGTCAAATTATGGGTTAGGGCTTCAACATATTAATTTGAGGGGGACACAATTCGGTCAACAGCAACCCTCCTGAAGCAGATAAGAAGAGATAACTGCTGTTTTAGAGATGAACAAACCAATACACCTAATGTTAGAAAGTTAGTAAAATATTATAACTAAGGTTCAGATAGTTATTTTTATCTAAGTCCACACTGCTTTCTTAGCTAGTTTATCTGACAAAAGACAAACAAACAAACAAAAAACATTTCCCTACTGCTTACAAAATAGAAGTCACTAGTTGACTGCAAAGAATCATCAAAATTAACTTCATGCCTTTCCATGTTGCATGATTGTGAAAAACGGGATTGATTTTGACAAAAAATTTATAAGAAATGTTATGTTCTAGATTTTTCAGTCAGCTAAAGTCAGGTTACTTTAACACTGCTGTCAAAAATACTAGTCTAAGTTTTTAAGTGATAGGTAAGTTAGAATTGTAGTGGCCAGGCTGGCGTTGCCTTTTTAGCATTCTTCAAGGTTACAATTAAAGTATCATGTTTTACAATTAAGTGTCATGTTTTATGTTTTACAGAAGATGATCTAAGAAATGTAGGACCAGTAGATGCTCAAGTATATCTTGAAGAAATGTCTTGGAATGAAGGTTGGATTTTTTTTTTCTCTTGACAACATTTAAAAAAAAAAGGAATTTTCTATAAGAAAAAAAAACTCATTGGATATTTGGAAATCTTAAAAAGAAATAATAGTGTGGCTTTCTATATATATGTGGTAAGTGTTTCTGTCTGGAGTATTTCTGCTTAATTCTAAACTTTATTTATTGACTGATGTCCCCCTATATGACTCATTTCCAGTTATTTTTATATTCTAATTAGATGTTAGGAACATAAAGTTTCATAAGAGTTTTTTTGTTGTGTTTTTTTACTTTAGTTTTTGCATTACTGTCTATGTAGTATTGTAGTATGGTAAATAATGTCAAACAAGATAGTTTTTTTTTTCCGTTCCTTTTAATGTTGACAAGATGAATTCCTATTAGAATTTTTATTTTCCCTTTATATAAAATCATAAACTGTCAGGACAGGGCTTTTAAGAGGCTTGATTTTTTTTTTTTTTTTTTTAACGCTCACATACTGATTGTCTTATAAGAAGAAAAGAATATCTGCCATTTCCCTTGATGCAACATGAAGTCATGTCTTTTTTGCTTTTCTGTTATTAAAATTTTAGAACTTAAATTCAATGTCGTTTCCCTATTCTTCTGATGGTTCCTTGAATTGTTCTGGTTAGACATCATTACATTGGGAAACACACTTTACTAAACAGAAGCCATGAGTACCATACTTACTTGTTTCTCTGGGCAAATGAAGAAAATCTTACTATTTCCTAGAATCTTTATATATGCTTAACCTTTTAACCTTATTGTTCAGCATGAGTACAAATTCCCTCCAGGTTTATAAAAATCTACTAATGAGTGTGGATAGGTAGAAGACAAAAACAGAGCCATCTGAAACCAAATTTACTTTTTAAATGGCAAATTCTTAACTTAGTGCCCCTAAGACGTGGGTCACAAGCCTAACTTAGAAAGGGAATCATGTCTTTGCCTCTGGGGCCATTCTGTCCCCAACCCCTCAAGTGAAATCCTAGAGTAGAAATTCAGTGAATAATTGGAAAAGTTGAGGTTTTGTGTAACTGGGGCTCTTGGTGGTGACAGTCTCATCAGAGTAAACACGAAGAAATACTGTGAAAACAATACACTAGTGATACAGATTTTCACTGCTGGTGTGTGGAAGGGACACTCTAGAATATGTCATTTATCAGGAAGACTTGCCCAGTTAAAAAAAATATATGCACATATGTATATATACACACATATACTTTTTATTTTTTGCCAAATACACAAACTTCAAGGAGACTAAATATGTTTTGAAAATATAGTTTGTCTCCTTATCTATTGGTATGTATATGTATGTTTGTATGTGTTTAATGTCTTAATAAATTAGTTCTTGCTATAGTCGATATGGGTAATATATTTTGTTTATGACTGTGAAAATAGTGAAAACTGGTTTTTATAAATTTTTTTTTACCTTTTAAATATATAACAATATAATGTTAAGATCTTAATTTTAAATGAGAATACGGGCTGGAAGCCTGGAATCCCAGCACTTTGGGAGGCTGAGTTTGGAGAATCGCAGAGGTCAGGAGTTTGAGACCAGCCTGGGCAACATAGGAAGACTGTGAGAACAGATTGTGAGAATAGGAAAAAAAAAAAAAATTTAAAAAAAAAACAAGCATAGCAAGACCACATCTCTACAAGAAAGATTAGAAGTATATTATATATATATTTTTAAAAAGAAAAGGAAGAAACAATATGGCTTAAGCATCTGTCCAGTCAATAAATACATGGACTTTCTGATACAAATGAAAATGCTAACATATGGAAGGAAATATACAACAAAAAATCATCAAGCGTTATCATCAATGTATTATTGCCCCTGGAACTCCCTAAAGTAAATTTGACAGTAAAGAAGATATAGAAGAATCCCATCCATAGCCAATACAGTTAATCTTAAAAGTATAGGATGCCCTTAGACGCTTAGGTTTTCATAACTAAAGATGGAAATAATTCTTATCTTAATGAGAGAAAATACTGAGCAAGAGCTACATGAAACCATTATTCTTGTAGAAATACTTAAAAACGAATCATGGAAGTTTTGAGCTAAATTTTTTTTCCAATTAAAAAGAGCAATTTTGGCAGATGAAATTAAATAAAAAGTGTGATCAACTAGGAAAGGAAAAATTTGTTTGAAGATCCCTTTAGGATCATTTGCAGAATAGCTATGGAAAGTGAAGCTCCAGAACAGGAGAAAAGTTCATGAAACCCTACAGGATAGACATAGCCAAATTGTTGGTTGCCTGATCAAAGGGCAGTATGAAATGATGCATTTTATTATGCTTAAAAGGCATATGTGAGTTGTTCAGATATTGAAGCTAATCTTTGCCCTTACAGTTAGTCTGTTATATGCCTTGGTCATTTTGTTGGCCTTCATTCAGAGTATTTAAAATGATGATTTCTGTAAAAGTTATCACCTGGTTAAAAGATTGATGGTATAATAATATAAGCAGAACTTTTACAAGATGTGAATTTTTAGTGAGCATTAACATTTGGAGTCATCTATGACAAAACTCCACAGTAGCCCATGGTGTCCTCTGTGTCATTTACCAAGAACATGTCAACTCAAATTGTTTTTCAGGGTTCACTGAGGTAGTAGAAAAACAAGGGGGTAGGGGGAGATTTAGCTTAGGAAAATCAATGGTTAGAATATGTATCTTTTTAGACAATTTAATAATAAAAAAATTCATTTTCAGAACATGCTGTAGTACATAGATGTTGGCTTAGACAGGGAAGATGTTTGCATTTGGAATTCAAGATTAAATTATTTTTCTGTATGGAGAGCAAAGGCATTGTGGTAAAGAATAAAAAGCTGGATTAGGTGAATGAATTCATTTTCCTTACTGATTAAAAAAAAAAAAAACACATAAAGTTAGCTTATTTAATTGCCAGTTTTTCCAAGGCTGAACTTGATAAGAGAGCAGGTACAAGGCAGTGGAATTTTTCTTTTTTAAACTACATATGATGCGATCTAAGTATTAATCAAATTTGATAATGGAATGAAGATATTTGTATGAAATCATGAGTCCTTTGAGACTTATTTATGTAATAATCAATTATAATGGTGGTAAAATAATGTGACTGATAAGTTATTTTCCTTTGACAGTTACTTCTCAGAGACAGTAAAATGGAATGACCAATGGATCAGAGATTCTTTAAGTCAAAGGGCACAAGCATTTCAACTTCCCAGGAAAATGACACACTTAAAATTTCCACGATCAGGAGCCTAAGTATTGCACCGTATTGCCTCCTTTGGGCATCTCACTTCAGCATCTTGTTGGTTCATGTATCATTTGTAAACATCAAACACACACACACATACCCCCATAGGATTTAAAAAAACAACAACAACATGGTGTTGTGTTTATAGACTTAAGTCAAGATTCTTGAAATAGTGTGACACTAGAAGAGAAAGTATCCAGATGTTGCATTTGATAAATAGTCTGGCTTTCTCTAAAGGATAGACTTCAGGCAAAAGCATCATCCTCCCTAACAGTGAGACAGGTAGGGCTGTTTTTCTTTTCCTTCACTGTAATATTTTAGACAAATACATTGTTGAAAAGAATGTAAAATTTATATGAATTTTAAGAAAACATAAAACTTCAAATAAGTTTCATGGGTTACTTCTGAGCATGCCCTCTCCTCCCAAAATCCTTGGACTTTTAATTCATAGCTTCAACCCATCTCCTCTACAGAGAAAGATTCTTTGGTAGATAATTTTTAGAAACACTGCCCCTTTCAAGAAATCCAGTTCTCCTTTAAATACATTTTATCTTTACTGAGCTTCTTTGTTTTGTTTTACAATTCCTATGGAATAAACTCTGCACCTTTTAAGGGTATTAGTGAGGTAGTTACTTACAAGTCTTTGAAAGATTATTTTGTTTTCTTTTGCAGGTGATCACTCTTTTTATCTGAGTTGCAGATGTGGTGGAAAATACAGTGTTTCCAAGGATGAAGCGGAAGAAGTTAGCCTGATTTCTTGTGATACATGTTCACTAATTATAGAACTCCTTCATTATAACTAAAATTGTTCACAACTTGAAATGCTTTAACTGTGGTATTGAGACATGATGAGAAGCCGTTGAGCTTTGTCCATTCAAGGAAATGGATTATTTGTCAGCCCGATTATTTGCAAAGAAAATATACAATTATCAAGCAGAGACCACCTCAGATTAATAGAGAATGAATATAATTATTTATTTGTATTTATAATTTATATTTACAAGTTGTCACAAAAATAGATTTGATTATATTTGGTGAATTCCCATCTGAGAACTTTATTATGTCATTTTTTTCCATGACACAAAATAAGAATTTTCTTAATATGAGCATGTCTCCTCTTTTCAGTGGGTAACAGTATCATCATATTCCTTTATAGTTACTAAGTTTCTGGTCTAACCGATAACGTTTCTAGTTGCTAAAGTTATGGGGCTGTTGTACACCTAGAATCTTTGTGAATAATGTGAGGCCAGTTCTTCCATAAGGAAGGCTGGTTATGGATATTCATAAGGTTATTTCAAAGTTAATAAAGACAAAGTGGCAACTGTAGAAAGTGTTGCCTCCAATCTTGGTCCGTATTTCCAAAGCTTGTAAACACTGCCATCTTCAAATTTAAATGTAATTTAGGAAATGGAAGCTTTTAATTTTAATTTCTTTTTTCTAAGACAGAGTCTCACTCTGTCGCGCCAGCTGGAGTGCAGTGCCATGATCTCAGGTCGCTGTAACCTCCGTCTCCTGGGTTCAAGTGATTCTCCAGCCTCAGCCTCCCGAATAGCTGGGATTACACGTGCCCACCACCATGCCCAGCTAATTTTTGTATTTTTAGTAGAGATGGGGTTCCACCATGTTGGCCAGGCTGGTCTCAAACTCCTGACCTCAGGTGATCCACCTGCCTCGACCTCCCAAAGTGCTAGGATTACAGGTTTGAGCCACCGTGCCTGGCCTAAGTTTTGTTAATAGAGATGGGATTTCATCATGTTGGCTAGGCTGGTCTTGAACTCCTGGCCTCAAATGATCCGCCCACCTCAACCTCCCAAAGTGCTGGGATTGCAGGCGTGAGCCACCATGCCTGGCCAGAAGCTTTTTTAAAAATAATGACTTGGAAGTTGGTGCATTATTTCCCCTTTTATTTTGGAGTGTTGATATAATATTGGGGCCAGGCATGGTGGCTCACATCTGTAATCCCAGCACTTTGGGAGACTAAGGCAGGCGGATCACCTTTGGTCAGGAGTTCAAGACCACCCTGGCCAACATGGTGAAACCCCATATCTACTAAAAATAATTTTTTTAAAAATTAGCCAGTCACGTTGGTGTCTGCCTGTGGTCCCAGCTACTCGGGAGGCTGAGGCACAAGAATCACTTGAACCCAGGAGGCAGAGTGAGCCGAGGTTGTGCCACTGCACTGCAGCCTGGGCTACAGAGAGCAAGACTCTGTCTCAAAAAAAATAAAATAAAATAAATAAAAAAAGATATAGTATTAATGCCTGTATTTATGAAGACAGGGCCATTGCACTGCTGCTATGCTGAAATGAACTTTTATAAAGTATTATTGACTATAGCCAACTACAGATGGCATATGCCTTAAAGATGCATTTTTCTATGTATTTAATATTTTGTGTACAGTAAAAGTCAGAACTCATTTAAAGAACTTTAAGGGATCCTTTAGAAACATTTTTACTTAATTTCAAATGAGTGGGCTGAGCATGTAGACTAGCAGCTTTTTATCAAACCTGGCATTGTCAGGTTGAACTTATAAATACGAATAGTTACTACTCTGACTTGTAAATGTAGCTGCTAAAGTATGAGGTATATTTAAGAAGAATAGATTAGTTTCATTATACCTATAAGAACAAGAATTCAAAAGTGAGGTAGTCATCCAGGTTCCCCCTCCCACAATATTTTTGTATCATAAAATTTAGATGACTTTTTTGGGTTACATTTTTATCCATATATTTTGAACTAACAGAACTTGGCAGAATGTGTGTTGAATATTCTTTACATTTAACAATTAAAAACAACTAAAACTGAATAGCAAATAGTTTATTGGTAAGTACACGGTTTCAACGGGAGTAATAAATTCACATGAAAAGGAGACAATAATCAAGTCAAAAGAATAAATGCTTACTAATCATCAGAAAATCTGTGGCCATTAGGGCTGGCACGTAAAAATCCAAAATCACTCAGAGGCCAAATCTGTAAAATCAAAATGAGGTTGAAGACAATTAGTGAAAGTAATGTTATAGTATCATCATATTCCCTTTTGCTATCTGTCCCTTTTCTCTATGCCAGATAAACACTTTCTCCTTACTCATCAATCAAGAATAAAATTTTCTACATCAAAGTAAGACTTGAGAAAATAAACTTATGTGTATATATGTTTAAACTCCAAAGTTTGGGACATTCAAACAATGTACATGAAATTATATGTGTGTGGTGTGTGAATAAATATGTATGAATATATGGTCTGTGTTTTCTTTTACTACTTGCAAGTAAGAGTTAACTGTGTACTTTCAACCAAAGGGGCTTAGGTTTAAGTACTTGAATATGGCATCTGTTTTAAATGTAAAGAATCCTGTAAATTATCCAACAGCTCCATGTATTCATGAATGTTTTTCTCCTCACTGATTGTGATAAAAAGGAGGGGCCAGTGAAAACAATCTTCCCTAATAATCATACATTCACAATAAGTCTGTGACTCACAGTACTCAACTGGGGTATCCCTACTTTACAGGTAGTTTGAATCTAGACTGTTCTTCTGCACATGCTTATTAAAATATGCCCTGGGCAGGATGTGAACATGGTTTTAAGAGTTGTACAAGAGAGAACTGAACTTTTGGAAATTCAAATTAAAGTTTTCTTAGGCTATAGCTAAGGTAGTTTGGATTTTATTATTATCTCTATGGGAGCAGGGGCAATGGGGGAATAGGTTTGCATATGGCTATTAAGTTAAGGCCAACAGGTTCAAAAAATATATTCGGTGCAACAGTTAAGTACACTGACAGCTTGAAGATTTCAGAGATCATTTTGAGAGAAACTTTTTCTAGCTCAGAAAATAAACCTTACATTTTAAGCAGAAAATGGTACCTTAAAGAAGATTCGTCCTCTTATTAGTCCATATGGAATAGGTCCATAGCACCTGGAATCTGTAGAATTCTGTAGATTGTCACCTTCTAACCAAACATGACCCATTGGCACCTAGAATTAGAGAAGAAATGCAGCCTCTTAAAGATAAAACCTAATTTGGGTACTATAATTAAAAAGCATGTCATTCAGAGGTAGGGAGAAATGTCCTAAGGCTCTCTTTTATAGAATAGATACAAATCCTAATATTGCATTTTTGCTTTTATTTCTTGCACAATAACTTTTACTAAATATCAAAGGTTTCAACTTTTTTAAAAACCTATCATCTTTTTTTGTCATATGGTTCCCAAATATTAATTTGTTATACAAACCCCAAACTGAGGTTATAAGAGATCAAAATAGTGTGACAGGGTCATTAATTTAATAGACTTCAAAAGAGGTCATTAGGATGCTGACTGAAAATGCGCCCTTGTGTCTCAATAACAGTATAAGCAGGGCAGCCACTCACTCAGCAACATCCTGGGGCCAATACCAAAGCCAAACCTATTAGAATGCTCATGATGAACTAAATGGTAATTGATTGTGACATCAATTACAAATAATCTCATCATTTTATTGGAGTAGGCTTGTCAGAATTCTAATTAACATCCCTGTTCTGCCTTTGTACAGGCCATATCTTCAATGCATTATACTTCAATAATGACCATGAAGAACCAGAAGGACCTATTATAAAATCATCAGTTGTAAAATTAATGATGGTGACCTTCTCCTAAATGAAAAGACTATCTCCTATAATGTTCTATGTATAAACTGGTAAATAACAAGATTTTTACTCAGTGACAATCATAAGCATATTTAGAACAGAATACATTGTTTTTTTTAAGCCACCTGCAATATGAGACATTTGCCTATTTCTGTTCAATGTAAACTAAAAAACTTACTTTCCAGCAACAATCTTTAAAATTGCTTTTTAAAAGTTTTTATTTTACAGTTTTGTTATCTAAGACAGTTGAATTATTGACCAGACCAAAATGATCTATGTATGGGGAAGGAATTTATTTTCACTATTCTTTTGACTGGTTTTACTTGTAAACCTTTTATGAAGAAAAATACACTACTGGGTTTAATAAGAGATAATGCAACTTTTTTTTTTAATCACAAATTACTTTCTTGAAAAGTAAATGTATACAAGAATGTAAAATTTGAATTTCACTTACGTAAGCGATTTTAAGATTCTGGAAAGTCTTATGTACAAATATTTGCCAAAAATCTCCAAATTAACTCTGCGTTTAGATACATTTAAACATTAAATCTATTTGTAGAAAAAGGACATAAGTTTACTGAAAGAATATCAGAAACTGTATGATCATTCACTTTTATTACTGGAACTAGTTTGTCCAAGGGCCAATAGCAAGGCCACTTCCTTGCTATCTAATAAAATAGACATATGTGCAGTGAAGTGTAAGACTGCTCTAGTAGGAAAGTGTGTACATCACAGTCATCAAAAAAGGAACAAAATAATGAATTTGGAAAAGCCATATGTAATTAACATTCTGAAGTGTTATTTGATAAAGCTATAAGGTGAACATCTTTCGTGTCTAAATTTCCATAGTTTCTTCCTAAAATGTGTTTTTTCCTGAGTTCTAAAAACAGGTAATATATATGAATAAATAAAACCATGTAGTTATGGACACCAGTAAAAGTAAAATTAAAACATTATGCAAACTAATAAGGCAACTATCAACAATCTAGGGATATCTTTGTCTGACCATCCCATTGAACCAGGATCAGTGGTTTCTACATTCCATCTCTTCATGAAGCTTTCCCTAAACTTGCCTGCCCTTACCAACCTGATTGTTTCCAATACTTAACACACAAAGTCAGCCTTGCTTGGGGCCCTACATTATAACCTTTAATATTATTTTTAACCTGCTTGGCTTTTCTGTCAGTTTTTACTATTTTATACCAGAATAAACCAACAGGCAGTAATGCCATGATTTGACTTTTATTGCATTTTAGTTTGGTGCAAAAATAACTGCGGTTTTTGCCGCAAAATACATTTAATGGCAAAAACCACAATTACTTTTGCACCAATCTAATAGATTTTTGCCAATATATATGGCAAAAAATGATACCTTTGTCTTATGAGTGAAGCTGAATCTTCTTTTCGTGTTTAAGAGGCATTTAATTCCTTCTCTGTGATATCTTTTTGCATGTCTTTTGCCATTTGGCTACTGGATTGATCTCCTTTTTTTCCCTCATTTCATAAGCACTCTTTCAATACTAGGGAGATTAGCCCTTTGTGGTACAAATAGCAAATATTCCCAGTTTCTCATTTCTGTTATGAGCCTTTGCTTTCATGTCTTCTGAATTTTGAGTCTTTCTTAGAAAGGTCTCATGGTTTCTTCTTTTACATTTAACTGTTTTATTCTTTGGGAGTACATCCTGACAAATGGTTATAAGGCTTGGATGAACGTTTTTAATTTTTGTAAATAATAACTAATTTAATACCTTGGTAATATTTTTCTGTGCATTTATTTGATTGTTGGCAGTGTCAAATATTATTCTGTGTGTTTTCTGATTGAATTTAATATCCAGTGAATAGTCTGTGCCTACTTTTGCATATATTAGTCTTTGGGATCTCAATTTTCCTATCTATGTGTATTTCTTATATAATACAAAGATTAATACATTTATTGCAAACATTTTTCCCAATCTATTTTTTGTCTTTTTATATTATGTTCCACAAAGTTTTTAGTTTTTTATGCAGTATTTACTTTTATATCCATATGCTTTTTAAAAGATGATTTTAATTATTTACAGTACCTAAACCAAAAGTGGAACTCAGATATTTGCTGGTGGTTAAATACTTGTAAATAGAAATTCTTTGAAAGCACAATGATAACTGCCATTAGCTAGGTCACTTTTGTAGCAGTTATGACCTGAGTTTCTTTCAAATTAGCGACATCATCTCTGGAGTAATTTTTGTTTTTTGAGACGGAGTCTTGCTCTGTTGCCCAGGCTGGAGTGCAGTGGTGTGATCTCGGCTCACTGCAACCTCCACCTCCTGGGTTTAAGCAATTCTCCTGCCTCAGCCTCCCAAGTAGCTGGGATTATAGGTGTCCACCACCACACCCAGCTAATTTTTCTATTTCAGTAGAGACAGGGTTTCACCATGTTGGCCAGGCTGGTCTTGAACTCCTGACCTCAAGCAATCCACCCGCCTCAGCCTCCCAGAGTGGTGGGATTACAGGGGTGAGCCAGTGCGCCCAACCATCGCTGGAGTAATATAATTAACAACTACAGAAAGGAATCTTCTAAAAAAAACATCTAGAACATATGACCAGGAGCCTTTCATTTGATACTTAAAATAACCTGTGAAGTACTAAATTTGACATTTAGTCAAGGAAAAAGAAATAGGTTCAAATATGAGACATGCTAACTCCTCATTACCTGAAATCCATACATGTTAATGACCATGCATCCATTTACAGTAAAGGGATTGCCTACATCTCAGACAACACTTCATGTAAAGTACACAAATCAAGGAAACAGCTTCATCACTGATGTTACCTTTAATCTAACAAGATCTCTATAAAACAAGAAAACCTCTACGTACAGATCTTTTAAAATTAAAGCAGGCATCTTTGCTGATCCACCTCTATAAGTTGCAGGTTGAGTATCTCTTATCTGAAATGCTAGAGACCAGAAGTGTTTCAGGTTTCATATATTTAGATTTTGGAATATTTGCATATACACGAGATATCCAGGGGAAGAGACCCAAGTCTAAACATGAAATTCATTTATGTTTCATATACACCTCATATATATATAGCCTGAAGGTAATTTTATACAGTATTTATAATTTGTCCAAGGAACAAAGTTTTGACTGTGTTTTGACTATGACTCGTCATGTGAAGTCATATGTGGAATTTTCCACTTGTGGCATCACACAGGCACTCAAAAAGCTTCAGATTTGGGAGCATATTGGATTTCGCATATTCAGATTAGGGATGCTCAACCCATACTCAGTTTACCAGTAAAAAAACATAATGTTTGCAATTACTCCTCCTTTTAAATATATAATTATTTTTGGTATGGGGGAAAAGAGTGAGAACTTTATTTCACTTTAAAAATCAATTTTATAGAGGTATATTTTATATACAGTAAAATGCACCTGTTTTAAGTTTTGACACACGTTTTGAAAAATGTACATACCCATCTAACCACAACCACAATGATACAGGATGTTTCTTCCATGCCGAAAAGTTCCCTCTGTTCCTTTGCAGTCAGTTCCTATCGCCATGCCTAGACCCAGTCAACGAGTGAACTGCTTTCTGTTACTAGATAGTAGTTGTGCCTGTTGCTTAATTTCATATAAATGGAATTACAAAGTACCTATTTTGTGTCTGCCTTCTTTTGCTTAGCAAGTTTTTATGATTAATCTATGTTGTATGTAAAAGTCATTCATTTTTTACTTCTGAGAAGTATTCCACTGTAAACCACAATGTTTATCTATGAAACTGGAGGTGGATACTTGGGTTGTTTGCAGTTTGGTGCTAGTAAAAATAAAGCACTGTGAACATTCATGTACAAGTCTTATTTCTTTTCAGTAAGTATCTAAGGGTGGAATTTCTGGGTCATCAGTAAGTCTATGTTTAACCTTAAAGAAATTACCAACCTTTTTCAAAGTGATACTATTGTATACTCCCAACAACCAATGTATGACTGTGTTCCTGTTGTTCCACAACCTCTCCAGCACTTGGTATTATCAGTTTTTAAATGTTTTGCCATTCTAGCAGGTTAAGGATATTAAATTGTGGTTTTAATTTGCACTTCTCTGATGAAAGCATTTTTCCATTATGCATACTAGTATTATCTTTTGTGAAGTATCCATTAAAATATGTTGGCCATTTTAAAAATGGGTTATCTTCTTATTCATTGTACCAGTCCTTTATTTACCATGGATACAAGTCCTTTGATGGGATTGCAAATATTTTCTCCCAGGCTGCATCTTTTTAAATGATGTTTTGACAAGCAGAAGTTTTTAATGTTGCTGAGGTCCAATTCATACTTTTTTTCCTATTGTGTTTCGTGCTTTTCGTGTCCTAAGAAATCTTTACCTGCCCCCAGATTATGAACATATTATACTATATTCTACAAATTTTATAGCTTTAGCTTTGATTAGGTATGTGATCCATTTTGAGATAACTTCTGTGCATGATGTGAAGTATTTGTTGCATCTGTTTTTGTTTCCTTTTTTCCTCCTCTCTATTGGATTATTTTTCTGAATTTTTTCATTTATTCAATTGCCATATTTAACATAGATCTTATTCTTGAAGTTGTTACTCCAGGGTTTACAATATGCATCATTAATCACAGTCCACCTTTTCTTCAGGTATAACTATCTTCACATATTATACCACTTCATGTAAGGTAAGAAAGGAAAGAATTTCGCAGCAGTATATTTTCATCCTCATCAGTGAATACAGAATTCTGGATTGACAGTGCTTCCCCACCTAACACTTTAAAGATTTCATTTTCTTTTCTTGCTGTTTTTTATAATAGATCAGCAGAAACTCCTTGTTCTCAGTTGTATGTAATATATTTTTTCTCTGGTTAAGATTTTCTCTGTCTTCCCTGGTTTGATTTTCTTTGTATTAGGCCAGAACTTCTTTCTGTACTTCTTGGATCTCTGATTCATCATTTTGGACAAAATTGGAAAAAAATGTATAGATCACCTTCTCTTCTACCCACTATCCTGGGGCATCCATAGCCTTCATGTTAATCTGCTTGACCTGTCCTATGGGTTACTCATTTTTTTTTCTTCCAGACTTTTTCCTTTCCTTCAGTTTGTATACTTTTAATTGCTGTCTTCAAATTCCCAGATCTTTTCTTTTGTAGTTTCTGATCTACTAAAGACCACCAAATGTATTCTTAAGCTCTAAAAATTACATTTGGTTCTTTCTTATACCATTTATTTCCTCAATATGTTCATCTCCTCTAGATCCTCAAAAATAGTTAGAATTGGTGTTTTAGAGTGCTTCTCTGCTAATTCCATAATTTCTGTCATTTCTGGGTCTATTTAACTGATTTACTTTTGATTATGTGTTACATTTTTCTGCTTCTTCACATATCTGGTAATTTCTGATTAAACTGGACACTCACTTGCTGAGTAGATTTTGTTGTCTGTTTTTATAGAGTGTTGAATGTTGAGGGAGTCTGGTTTCTGTGAGGTAGTTAAGTTAGCGGCAGTCACCTTATTCCTTTCAAGCCTTGTTTATAAGCCTGCTAGGTTGGGTCTTTATCTTACATTTTATTCTAAGGGCTATTTTAGTCCTACCACTAAGATTTGATTTTTCCAGAGTCTCTACTGAAAGTTCTGGATATCAACAAGATCTGTCCACACTGGCTGGTCAGAACACAAATGTCTCTCAGCTCTGTGTGAGTTCTGGGACCTTTTTGGCTTACAGCTCCCCAGCAGTCATTCATTCCTCAGTCTCTTTAAGTTTCACCATAAGCAGGCACAATTTAGTATTGAGCCCAAAGCCAAGGGAATATCTACGTAGATTTCTGGAGATCTTTCTTTAGCTCTTTGCTCCATGGTAGTCGGATTTATAAATCCCAACCACTTAAGCATACCTGTACCCTAATCTTTGTCTCAACTCAGCAAAGACCACCTGTGCTTTGCTTGACTTTCCCTCCTTGTACTGTTATCTGAAAACTGCTTTAAGACAGAAGTTGGGGCAAGTACAGGCTTATTTTGTTTCCTTTCTCTCAAGGATTAGTTTCATACTGCCTGCTATGCAATGTATTAAAACAGTAGTTTCACATATTTTTGTCCAGTTTTCTAGTTGTTTATGGCAGGAGGGCAAGTTCATGACCAGTTATTCCATCACTGCCAGAAGCAGATGTTCAAATTACATAATTTAAAAAAAACTTTTTTTTCTTTGAGACAAAATGTCGCTCTCTCGCCCAAGCTGGAGTGCAGTGGTGCAATCCTGGCTCACTGCAACCTCTGCCTCCCAGGCTCAAGCGATTCTCCTGCCTCAGCCTCCTGAGTAGCTGGGATTACAGGCATGCACCACCATGCCCAGCTAATTTTTGTATTTTTAGTAGAGATGGGGTTTCAACATGTTGGCCAGGCTGATCTCAAACTCCTGGCCTCAAGTGATCTGCCCGCCTCGGCCTCCCCAAGTATTGGGATTACAGTCGTGAGCCACTGCGCCCAGCCTTAAAATACTTTTTTAGCATACTTGCAACAATATAAAGAGAATCATTTCAGTGAAGACTAAAATTTTTGATGTGTGACGTGTGCTTTGGCATCTCCATCTTGCATCCCCTTCAGTGGAGTCTCCTTTATGTTTTTACCCTTTCCCTATCAAAACTCTGGAAAAGATTTGCCAAACTCAGCAGGCAATTATGTACAAACAAGGAAATTCACTATGGTATTTTCTGCATCTCAAGACTGGCAATGGCATAAATGTTCCTCAGTAGGCAGAGGTTAAATAGAATATCTTTCTTTTATATATTAGTAAACAGCCAGTAAAAATAAATACATAAATAATGGAAAGATTTCCATGAGATAGCCAGAGGAAAAAATAAGTTGCAGGGCAATGTGTATAACTGTAAAATTTTTAAAATATATATTTCAAAATATACATTTTTATGACCAGTGCATACTATTTAAGTAACTTAAAGTATACATATGTATATATACACAGAAATATATGTGTATGTGTGTCTTAAAATACAAACTGCTTAACCCTTTTGGTGATGTTCATACTTTTAAAAAAGGGAGCATCATCCTTCATGATGCAGGTTGGGGGAGCTTGTTGAATTTTTTTAAAAGGTGTTTCAGGGTTGGGCTTTTTTTTTTTTTTTTGTCTTTGGTAGTGTGGAAAGAGAGTTAACCTAACCTCTAATCCATATAGTAGGATATGCTTCTTTGTACAGTACAAGTAAATGACTTGTCATTTATTTCACAGTACTGTCATCAAATCTACAGATGACTAAAATATTACTCTAGCCAAGAACACATTTAAACAAACATACAGTAAAACACATTTTTTGGTTTGGGTCTGAAACACAACACCTGACTTTCCTGATATGGAATGAGGCAAGGAACAGAACATTTTCTTTCTAACTTTAAACACAGTTATTGTCTGTTAGATTAACCTACTAGTTGTCAGTAAGTTGAAAATTCAAACCAGATAATAGAAAAAAGAATTCTATAGCAATATTATAATAATAAAATATGAAGAGGATAAAATGGTAGATTAACATGTATTTTTCTTTCCTTTTTTTGTGCTCACAGAGACAGATAATAAAATGTGTTTTTTTAAAAGCTATGATAACTTTACAACTAAGGCTGAAAACCACTCTAATAAACACATTTATAGTAAATGTTTTACAAATGGCCCAAAATGGAAATGCCTAATTCTATCTCTTTGTTCATTACGTCTCATAATCAAAACTTTTAAGTTGGATTAATTTTGTACTCTTGTAAATATGCTATGCCATTTTGAATGAATGCATAAGACTGAATATATGAATATATGTTTTCATGAATGCCATAAACTGTTTTAATTTTGCCCAAACCTGAATTCTCCATGTGCCTCAGATATAGCTAACTTTACAGCTAAATTTTAAGGCATTAAAGGGACCTTTAAATCATTCTTGTTTTTCCTTTCTACGACAGAGGTTTACTTCCTGAGCTAGGTTTACTTCCTGAGCTATGATAAAACCTAATCTCAGGGCTGGACAAAAGAATCAAGCCTCTAGTTCTCAGCTATATTTACTGAGGTCTAGTTAAGTGCCTCCTTTTTAGCACAAACAACAAATGTAATTGCCTCATGGCCTGCGGGTGTCCATTTAACAAAAGAGGCTTTTGTGGAGGCAATACACAGGTGTTACCTTTCTTGATTCAAGTGAAATCTGATGAAACAGTCCACAATATCAAATAACACATTTACTAAACTGTAATCAAATTCATTTATTTGATTAGGCAAATAACATCTAATTAAGAAAAGTTCTGGCTAAAAAATAGTTGTATGTTTGACCTTCAAAAGTTTCAAAAACCAGAAAATCCTAAGAACAGACTGATTTTTAATTAACACTTTATTTGCCATATATTTTATAGTTTACAACCAGCAATGGTAGGGTTTGCATTGGCCCTACCTATTGCTCGTACTTCTTTAATGGTTCTAAAATGACCGCAAAGAAAACAAAACAATAGTCATGAAAGAAACAAACAAAATTATGACGCAAGGTGAGGAACAAAGTTTTTAGAATCCTTTTTTTAATGATTATTTTTTCATTTTCCTGTAATGTACAAGAAAAAGAGCACACATTTATGAAAGCAATCAGATAGTCTTTTTTTGCTTCTATTTAGTAAAAACAAACGACTGATAGAGCAACGATACTCTAGTCTCAAAAGTATTTCATTTTGCATGTTTCAAAGATTTTATTTTGTGTCTAATGGAATAATCAGTGGGCTATAAAATGCATAATACCCTTGCCTATGAAAAAAGTCTATATGATGAATGTATATTAAAAAGATGTCATTTTAGTCCAATAATTAATATTATGTAATTGTTTTTTATCTTATTATCTTACAAAAAAGCAGTATCAAGTTATTATACCTACTATGTGGCCACTGTATATTCTGCTTAATCATGACTTATGTAACCAAAGTGTGGCCATATTAAGATCCTATGCACACTATTAGAGATAATATTTGAAAATGAATAATTTATTAGTATTTTTCTAAAAAGATCTCATAAAACCCAGTTTGTTTGAGTCATGTAACAGCAAAATTGGAAGCACCATCAGTAAATAGTTGTTTACCCTTCCTATAGTGCCAGCAGAAGCTATAAACAAAAACACATGTAAAAAAGTGAAGAATTAAATTCTGAGATACAATAAATAGAAGGGACTTTTAGAACACAAAGGTGAGAAAACATTAATTTTTAAAAATGCGAGTGTCTGAAATGTCAGTTCTGGGTATCTCTCAAAGCAAACTCAAGGAACAGTTTTACTTATTTTCATTGTCATTCTCCTCGCCCTAACTACTTGCCCACATTCTGTCTACCTGAGCTAATTAAGGCCGAGGAGTATCTGGAGTCCTGATAGAAGTGTTTCCAAATGCTAGATGCATAATAAAGGGATTGTAGAGACCAGGCACAGAATAGTTAATACACTGACTATTTTAATACGTACTATTTCTATACGGTCCTGCTTCCTTTTCTCCCTTTTAAAATTCAGCCTCATTGCTGTCCTATCTACATCATTGCTGGGAACTGTTATTGCCCTTCCCTTCTTAAAAATGGTGCCACCTTACATTCATAGCCAGTCATCACCAAAGAGGAATTTACACAAAAGTTTCAGTAGGCTACACCTATAGCATTGGGGTTTGAGTAAGGGGTATGCTTTTTACTAACAGTCTCTCTTTCGTTATTGAGCTTCTCCCTGCTGAGTAGGTTTAAAGCTTAGTCTAAGGCTTGACTTGCTCATTCTCGTGGCGATTGCAAGATAAGCTCTTTCATCTTCTCCCTAAGCTCTCAATACCTCCATCTAGCCTGAATAGTAACCTCTGGTGGGCTGTTTAGGATAGTGGTTAAAAATACAGTCCACACAGTCACACATAGTCCTGAGGTCCAAATACAGCTTTGCATACTAGTTAAGCACCTTGGGCAAGTTATTTAAACCTCATCAATACAACTGAGACTAATAAATACCTTACAGAAATACTATGAGAACCAAATGAAACAAGACTCCTGGCACCCAGGAAGCAATCAGTAAGAGCACTTACTAGCAGCTGCCACATTTGCCAGTGTGAATTATGTCTATTGGGCTTTCTTTGTCCCTGGTTTCCCAGGCAGTCTACCCAGATCTCTGCAAAGTTAACTGTGCTTTGCTATTTTACTTTATGTTTCTGGTTATTTTCTTTTACACTATATTCAATTATATAGCTCTGGTGTTACCCAAGTCTTTGACTTGAATCCAATATAATTAAAAATGTACATTAATTATGAGTAAGTACCACATCAATTATGCCACCTAATTTAATGAAATTCAGTTTTTAAGATAAAATCATCCTAGATTAGCAGTAAAAACTAACATTTCTATTCTTTTTTTTTTTTTTTTTCTGAGACAGAGTCTTGCTCTGTTGCCCAGGCTGGAGTGCCATGGCGCGATCTTGGCTCACTGCAACCTCTGCCACCTGGGTTCAAGCGATTCCCCTGCCTCAGCCTCAAGAGTAGCTGGGATTACAGGCATGCACCACCACGCCTGGCTAATTTTTGTATTTTTAGTAGACACAGGGTTTCACTATGCTGGTCTCGAACTTAAATGGGCATGCTCATCAAGCAATGTTTATTAAATATTGAATGCTTAGGCCCTTATCAAGCATCCACTTCTTCAGAACCATTTACCAACTAGTCAGAATGTAGGAGATGGAGAAGAGGGTTGGGACTGAAGCCAGTTTATAGGCCTTTCTATCCATGCCTCCCAATACTATTGTCCCTGTGTTTTACCTCTGTCTCTTTGTAAATACAATGTTACCTGCTATTTTGAGATTTGGATTTAAAAAAAGCACTTTATATTCTCATTCTAAGACTATCTCTGCACTTTCATTTTAATACAGCTTGATCTATATACTTGCTTTCCTTCCAAAGGATGAGCCCAACTTAATTCAACAAAGGGTATTTCAGACTGTAGTAGAAAATGGTGTTAAGTATTACAATAATGAGTTTTCTCATGCTCTCAGAAAAACAGTTCTGAACAGTAAATTAGATGCATACTGTACACAGTATGTACTAACATGTTTCCACCAAAAGTTTTATTCGTGGCACTCCACTTAATTCTTTCCCAAATCCAAACTCATCCTATATGGATTTATTGCTACAGATGAATCTCTGTTGCTCTTTTCAATCTCCTGTTGTTGCTGTACATAGCTGCTTCACATAGAGATTGGCCAGAAAAACAGATTTATATCTGAAAGGGTATTAGAAATAGATTACCAGTAGAAAGGTTGCCATACTTCAAAAAAGAAATGATTAAAAATAAATATGTAGGTATTTTTGTACTTGATGTTACTGATGCATTTTTTTAAAAACAGGCATTGTTGAATATATTTGACAGACTTCTCCTGCTTGTGTTTTACTCATCGAAACACAACTCTAATGTATCAAACCCAGCAGATTATTTAGAATAAAATCTAGGTTTGTGAATACAAAATTGCAAATTAGGCAGGTGGATGACAGATGAATTTTTTTTTTTTTTTGAGACAGAGTCTCACTCTATTGCCCAGGCTGGAGTGCAGTGGCACGAGACGGATGGCATTTTTTAGTGATGATGCATGATACAAAGAGAATAGCTGAAGATCTTTAAAAAGTAAGAATGATCTAGGGCTGAGCGCATCAAAACACTGTTTTGACTAGGAGACAGAAACAGACTATGGACATCAAGGAGGGAATAGCAAAGCATCCAGATGTCATCTGGGGAAAGCAGTACTTTTTTGCTACTTGCTGTAAAATTTAATTGCCACAGTATTAATTTAAAATATAATCTACCTTAATCTTATTAGTAGACTTCTACACTTGTCCAAAATTTTATATATCTTCTTTCCATTTCCCAAATTAACATCTCCCCCAACAACCCTATTTTATTGTACCACTCACCCTGTGGCAAGAACTAACAACTTGGGTGTCATTTTTAAGCCTTTCAATTCCCTTTCTTCCAGCATCCAATCTTCTCTAGATTATTTCCTTAATCTTTCTGCAATCTTTGTACTTCTTCCTATTCTCGATGTTATTATCTCAGTTATGCCTCACTCACAGCCTATTAACTGGTCTCTCTGCCTCCAGGCTCTCCTAATCCTAGCCATCCTCTAATAGTCTACACTAACAACAGAATGGCCCCACAGAAACTAAATAAAAACTAAGCCTGATCATGTTATTCCCCTGCTTGAAACATAAAAGGAACTGAGCCTTGTTTAATTCTTATTTTTAGGGATGGGGTCTTGCTATATTGCCCAGGTTGACTTTGAGCTCCTGGGTTCAAGCCATCCTCCCACGTAACAGACTACCATGCTTGGCTTATACCTTTCATTTTTATCTCTTCTTACTACTCATCCCTCCTACTACATGTGCCATACACTGGAACTCTTACTTTTGGCAGTTCCCCAAAAGCACAATGCTGTACTTACTTCTAGGCCTTCAGAATATGCTGCTTTCTTTGACTAACTCCTACTTACCCTTTAAAACTTCAACTCAGGTTTCACTTTCCCATTCTGGAAAAATCCCATCTAACCCAGTCTGGATAAATATCCTTGTGTCTTATCAAAGCACCTGTGCCTAATTCTATTATACTATACTGTAATTTCATCTATTCCTCCAACTTAACTATAACCTCCTAAAGTTACACTGTCCAATATGGCAGCCACTAGTCATATATGTGGCTATCTAAATTTTAAAATTACATAAAATTAAGAATTCAGTTCCTCAGACACACTAGCCATGCTTCATGTGCTCAACAGCCATGTGTGCCTAGTGGCTACCATATTGGACAGCACAGATACAGGATATTTCCATTATTTCAGAAAGTTCTATTGGTGTTGCTGGGGGCAAAGATGACTACCCTAACGTGTACTGGCCCTCAAGTAAGTGCTCAGTAAGTGTCTGTGGAATTAATGAATGCACACATCGAAAAAGAAAGTTGAGAGGTTAATGTCTGGCAAATTTTGTATACTCCTATAGCCTCCTGAAAGCTATTTAAGTCTTCTCTCCCAGTCTACCCTTAGATGTCCCCCCTCCCAAGTCCAGTGGTCTGGCTGCTTCTGAGGCAGCCTCATTAAGGAAGATGTGTGAGTGCTAGGATTGGTCTGGGGTCAGAAGTCCATTATCGGTCTCAGTCTGTGTCCCTAGACCTACTTTGACTTTCCTTACACTGGGAAGTCAGGTCAAATTTCAAGTCTCTTTAGACAACAGAAGGTTTCTCTAATCCTTCTTGCTTTCAAGAATCATACATAATGTACACAAAGTAGATGAGAATCTTAAGTTGCATCGAAGAATTTTAAATTACCTATAATTGTAAGTACTTTGTTAAATACTGCTTAGTCTCCTTTTCTTGTTAGCTCTGCATTTGTGTTTAGTTGGATACAAGCACTAGCTGTGCCATGCTAAGTGATTTATACATTTTCTTAAAGTAATTATGAAAATTCTGTCCCAGGAGGAAAACACTCTAACGTCCAGATTGGCAGTGCAATAACTTGTAATGCCAATATTTTCTTGCTAATTTAACATCTTTAGCCATTTTATAATATGCATACCTGCTTTTGTATCTATTTTTCCTTTTTTTCATTCTTGTTTTAGGTAGAGAATTGTTTGGTTTGGTGAGAATATTTTTATGGGCTAAGATTAAGTTGTTCACAAAAACCTGTCAAATTTTAATTACCCAAAGTGGTAACATCAAAACTTCATTTACTTGCTTATTCCAAAAGGGAGTTGAATATATTTCACTTACTCAACAGCAGTTTTTCCAGTAGATCTAGTAAAGACTGTTATAGCACCTGGGCGCGGTGGCTCACACCTGTAATCCCAGCACTTTGGGAGGCCGAAGCAGGCAGATCACTTGAGGTCAGGAGTTCGAGACCAGCCTGCCCAATATGGTGAAACCCTGCCTCTACTAAAAATACAAAAATTAGCCGGGCATGGTGGCAAGCGCCTGCAGTCCCAGCTACTCAGGAGGCTGAGGCAGGAGAATTGCTTGAACCTCGAAGGCAGAGGTTGCAGTGAGCCAAGATTGTGCACTGCAGTCCAACCTGGGTTGACAGACTGAGAATCTGTCTCCGAAAGACAAAAATAAATAAATAAAAAAGATTGTTTTAGATTAGGAAGCCACATCACACTTGGAATATATTCTCCTTACTACCAACAGAGTTTGGAGTCTGGTTCAGATGCTTTCACTGAATACCTGTGTTACAATTTTGTTCTTTAATTTTTGCAAATGACTTTTAAGCAACTTTAAAGTACAGAAGTCCCAGATAACTTGCAGATAAAAATACATATAATATTTTCATTTTACTCAACTGTATCCTGCCTCTCTAGATTCATACCAATAGCACTAACTTTATAACTTTTGAGTGGTTAAAATATTTCCAGGTGAGCAACACATACAAATTTCAGGACAACCTGCTACTCTTTCAACAGAGATGCTGATCTTCATATATACATCTTTTCAAACATATACATATAAAATATACTACTACAAAATAAGATTATTATAAACTCCATATTACTGTTAAACTAAGCTCAAATTATTCTGAAAATATTCAGAGAACACATCAGAAAACACTTTAAGTCTAGGAGCCTCAAAGATTATTCTTTAGTGTTGACATCTGAACAAAAACACTTCAGACTTGTAAACAATGAGTGAAATTTATCTTCAGAATTGTGTTAGCTATAGAATGAAAAAGTCACGTCACCTCCGCAGTGAACTTCACTTTAGCAAAAGAGTAAACATATTTCCTCCATATCAGCTGCAATCAAGGCATTAGCAGTATGCCATGATTGATTATCCTAGGAGCCGTTGCTGAGAAATGGATGTGTAGCACAGGTTTTTATCACTATAGTCTGCAAAAAACAAGTCGCTTGTTTAGATACTCTAGTTGTAATAAGTGACATTATTAGGCAGTTCTTCTATTTAAATGACATAAGGATTTAGTATATCAGCAGCTTATAATACACAAGCCCTTTCAATCTGATGATTCCTCTCTCTACAGAGAAGTACTTTTTTCTGTTTATAATACAAGTGGTAATAGAAGACCAGATGGTTGACTTTTAGCTAAGGGAAATGACATTTAAACAAACAGAAAGACAGCATTTAGAATATTCAGGGTTTCAAACTATAACCTAAATACACAGTACACATTAAAGGACTATTAGTGTTAACTATATAAAGTGACCATTTTGTAATGCTAATTAGTAAGATTGTTTCTTAGGTTGTCCATCAGTTTTATTTAAATATTTTCTAATACACGGTAAAACAGCTTTATTATTGCCATATTGTTACATTTCCATTTTAATACACTATACCACCAGTACATCCTGATAACACTTAATCAGTCCTTTCTGAAATGTAAAATTGTCTCTACTTCTTACATTTCTGCCAGTAATAATGATGATGTTATTAACATACTCTACAATTCACAAAGAAAAACATAAGAAATAACTACATTACTTATTCACCTCCCATCACTCTGCTGTGGTAATGGATTACTATTTGGTGAACAATGTTTCACCTTTTGTGTATAATGCTGACATCTATGGTACCAAAGACAACCAAAAACCTTTAAATTAAATAGCCAGATATCTTTGGTAGCCCTCAGATAAAAGTAAAAACATGATTTTTCTAATAAGTACAGATTTGTTTCCTGTAACAATAGCAAAAGACTGCTATCCACTAACCACACTAACCACAGAATACACTGAAATTTTCATAATCATATTCTATTAATATGTCTATTCTCAATACAGGGTAGCTACTATGGTTAAGACATGAAAATTCAATAAATAAGGTTTTAATTGAAAGACTTAAAAAATGATTCTTCATTTTACAATAAACCACAGAAAATCCTAGAAGGAGAAATTTATAAACTTCAGGTAACAACTTTACCCATCGTTAAGCCAATAAACCAATAAAAGGACCAAAAGAACAAATTATCTGTATAGTAGTTCAATATGTCCAAAAGGCACATGTATGACTACAGAAATGCAGAAACTCTTATTACCACACAACCTCATTAGTAGGCAATGAATGTTGCAAGGGCAACTTAGCCTTCATCGTAATAAAACCACCATAGCATTTCAGGGGCACCAAAGCTTCCTTCAAAATGAGAACAAGGTAAGCCCAGCATACCTCAATTCCCCCAATACTTTAGGAGACTTAATCTTAACTAAGTTCAGTATTCCATAGTGATAAGTCAATTCAGAGCCTGGTGAATTTTTATTCTGCTTAAAGAAAGGCCTGAAAAATATGCAGTCCTAAATAGAAGTCACTTAGGAAAAGAAACATTTAATCAGCACTCTGCTCTCCTGGTACACCGTAAGAGGAACATTCCAATATTTTCTACAACTTTCACCTGCCATTGTCATAAGGTGGTCAGGTAGTCTTATCACTGGAAATAGCTTAGCTTTCAAGTCTATGAAGACTAGAATGACCACAGATTGGGCAGTTCAGCAGCGTGGTAGGCTCCATGAACATCTTCTGAGAAGTTGTAACATCATGCATTTACTTGGGAGCAAGTTTGCAGTAGAAACTAGTAGAAAAAAAGGAGTAGAAGTAGAAAAGAAACTAGCACCCTATTCATATATATCTAGATCTGTCCACCCTTCAAGAATTTTAAAAAATCTACTAGATGCCAAATCACAGTTGAAATGATATGAAATCAACTGCGATTAAAATGAGTCCCTGTCACCAAGAATCTTATGCTCTAGATCAGGGGGTCAGCAAACTTTTCCTGAAAAGGGACAAATAGGAAATAGTCCAGGTGTTGCAAGCCATATAGTTTCTGTCACAACTATTCAACTTTGACATTTTAGAGAAAGCAAACACAGACAACAGATAAATGAATGGGCATTATTGTGTTCCAATGACACAATAATTACAAGAAAGGCAGCAGGCAAAATGATTATGCAGGGTCTTGCAGGCCACCATAAGGCCTATGGCTTTTACTGTAAGTGAGATGGGGAGCCACTGGGGTCTTTAAGCAGAAGAGTGACATAATTGCTCTTAAAAAGCATCATCATCAAAAAGGATGACCTTAGCTGCGGTGTGGAGAGTATAATGGAAAGGGTAGAGATGCCAGAAAATCGGAAGGGTATAAGCAAAGAAAACAGTTCAAAAATTATTGCAACAAAATGAGAGAGATGAGTTTATCTTGCAAACTAATGGATGGTAGCAGTGACAGTGGCAAAACGTGGTTTGATTCTGATTATATATAGAAGGTATAATCATGATTTGCTACGGGATTGGATGTAGGGTGAAAGAGGAGAGTAAGGATAACTCTAAGGTTTGTGGCCTGAACAAGTAGCATGGGGTTTTCTTCCCCATATGATGGGAAGTGTATGGAAGGAGCCATTTTGGGACAGAAAATCAGGATTTTAGCTTTGGATACAGTAAGTTTGAGATGACCATTATTCATTAAAGTGAAGATATTAGACAATTAGACATGACTCTGGAGTTCAGGGAAGAGGTTATACTTGATATAAATTTGAGAGTAAGTTAAAAAGTACTGTACATAAAACCATGAGACAGGATGAGGTCAGCTAAAGTATAAGTGTAGATAAACAACAGAAGTTTAAAATATGAACCTTTAGTTAACTTCAGGGTTTGAAGGTCATTCCAATGTTTGGATATGAGGAGGAACCAATAAAGGAAATTCAGAAGAAAGATAGGAAAAAAACCTAGAAAAAGCAGTGTCCCAAAAACTAAGTGAAACCAGGTTTTGAGAACAACTATTTCAAATATTAACAATAGGTCAAGTATGATGAGGACTGAGAGTTGATCACTGGAGAGACAACAAGAGAAGTCATTAGCGACTTTGACAAGAACCATCAGTGAAGTGGTGGAGACCAAAGTCTAACTGGAATGAGTTCGAAAAAATAATATGAAGCTCAGAGTGGAGTAACTATACACAACTCTTCCCTATAGGAGGATGTGGTGTCATGGGAGTTTGTTTAGATGCAGATTTTACAACATGTTTGTTGATAGGAATTTACCATATTTCAAAATGCCTATTTCATAGTTATCCCATGGATTAAAAGCATAGTCCTGGATTATCACACAATATTATACTAATAAACATTATGAGTGCTTTTCTTCTTCTTTTAATTGGCTTTATAACAAAATTATAGTGTATTTCTGAGCCCTGGCCCTACATTCCCTAAGGGAATTAAATAGAGGTTTACTTTGCATTTTGCCTGCTGTGCAAACCAATAGGAGAATGCCAACTCATTTTATTTATTTCTTATTTGCTACATGCTCCTACTTCCAACTAAATTATTTTTTCTGATAAAGCAGTGGCTTCAAGCAGCAAACTGAGGAATTCCTGTAGAATATACAGAAAGGCAACATACTCAAGATGTCTGAGCTTATGACAATTTGTTTCTTTTGAGAGTCACAAATTAATCTCATATCTTTACAGTAGCCAATGCTCAGTTCATACATAACCCCAGGAAAGAATTATTGGCTTCAGTACCTTCAAAATAAGGAAAGCAAACAGCATCTTTTTTTTTCTTTTCTTTTCTTGAGACGGAGTTTCGCTCTTGTTGCCCAGGCTGCAGTGCAGTGGCGCGATCTCGGCTCACTGCAACCTCCACCTCCCAGGTTGAAGCGATTCTCCTGCCTCAGCCTCCCAAGTAGCTGAGATGACAGGCGCCTGCCACCACGCCTGGCTAATTTTTTGCATTTTTAGCAGAGACAGGGTTTCACCATGCTGGGCAGGCTGGTCTCAAACTCTTGACCTCAGGTGATCTGCCTGCCTTGGCCTCTCAAAGTGCTGGGATTACAGGCGTGAGCCACCGCGGCCGGCCAGCAACAGCATCTTAATAGGAACTGCTTAGTTTCCAAATACCTAACAGTAAAAAATAAAGCTGATTTATAAGCGTTGCTTGCCATGTGGTCTTTTAAAACTCTGGAATGGAAAACAAACAAACAAAAAAGAACTCTGGAAAGAATAAAATGATCCCACATCACTACATCACTTAACCAATGATTTGTTTATGTTCTTTTCTGCCAACCTACAAACAATGCTATTTCTTTGATATGCTAAACTCTACAGGCTAGGTTCCAATGAACAATTTTGGTGTTTTGCTTTCTGAAGCACCTACATACAAGAATAAACTTTTTTTGCCTGGAATTCAAAACATATTTTAATATTGTTCATTTTATTAAGCAGCTCAATCAAGATATGAATAGCAGGATCTTCATCTCATAAACAACAATGATTTTTCTTAGAGGATGCAGAGGTAAGGGGAAGAAACTCATTTCGTAAAATATTGCACCAGTGTGCTTCTGAAATAGCTAAAAAAAGGGACACACGAGAGGGGTAGACCCTGCGAACATTTTGGCTATGTTTTCAGAGCACTCCAAACTTGGATGAAATTTTGTTATAAATCACCTTGATTAATGGAACACATTTGCTAAAGCGGTTCTGTAATAGCTACACAATTCTTAGGACTTGAATAACCCAGCATAGAAAAACTGGCAAGGGAGAAACCCTCAAAAACACTGGCTTGTCTTTCAGAACCAATACTGCCCCTGATCAGAAATACTTCCCTGTGTTTTTTTAAAAATAATAAAGACAAATACTTTTTAAAGTAAGTATAATTTGATGACATAGGAACAGAATAGATAGGCAAAGGGTATTCTGAAAGAAGTAGTAGTGGCATCGTGAGGGTTACAGATTCTGAAGCCACTATATGTGTTTCAATCCTAATTCTTCCTCTCACTGTTCGAAATTGGGCAATTTATTTAGCCTCCTTCTTTAGATTACCTATCAGTAAAATACTGTTACCTACTCATCGGGTTGCTGTTGTGATAATTAAATAAGTTAACCTTTGAAAAGATTCTCAACAGTATGGAGGAAGTACAAAATAAGTGCTGACCAAGATTATTAGAATGATGTACTGTATACTTATAAATTTGTCCAACAAAAGTGAATGGAATACACCTGGAACAAAATGGCAATGTCATATAATTTGCACATTTATCAAACATATAAAAACTCGGTAATAGAACACCCTACTGGTGTTCTACCACACAGTAGGGTGATTATGGTTAACAATATTGTGTTGTGTATTTCAAAACAGCTGAAGGAGCTACTCAGAAGGCTGATGTGGGAGGAGCATCTGAGCCCTGGAGGAGGAGGTTGCAGTGAGCTGAGATCGTGCCACTGCACTCCAGCTTGGGCAACAGAGCAAGACCATGTCAAAAAAAAAAAAAAAAAAAAAAAAAACTGAAAGAGAGGATTTTGAATGTTCTCACTACAAGGAAATAAAAAATACATAAGGTGATGGATATGGTAAATATCCTAATTTCATTTTTATACAATGTATATTCGTACTGAAACATCACACTATACCCCATAAATAATGTACAATTATTATGCATCAATTAAAAACAAAAACAAAATTCAATGAATATTTTCCTTGAATAGAACATTTAAAAAATTTACATCTTACAGTGCTGGTTATCTTCTCTGATTACTTAGCAAAGACTTTATCTGAATCCTTTTGTACAGACATCCTCCTCTAATAACTCTTAAAAAGAAATCAACAACAATGATATGGCATTTAAATACATAGAGGATGCTATTTATTTGTTCTGTCTGTTGATATCATTTCTGCTTTCAAGTACACACATGATGCTAAAGTAATTTAGAAGTGACTAGAATATCTCAGGAAATGCTAATAGTCATATGAAGGTGAAACTAAATGGAAAATCAACCCTTTTTAAGAAGAGGATACAGTGTCCGTAGAAAAATATGTTACCTGACAGCACACTATCATCTTTAACACTGTTATCACCATAAGTTAACAATTACTGCGTATTTAGCATTGTAGTAATAAATATCAAAAACACTTGTACAGCTGAACCACAGTCTATTACAAAATGGTAAATAAATAAGATTGATTATTTAAAAGTCAAACTTACTTATAGGGCAACCAGAGGCTATTACGGTTCAAAATAAATTTACGATGACATTGTAATTATTCAACTATGTGTTTACATTGAGGATGAATATAGAGATAATGTTAGTTAACAAACAGCTGCATTAATAATTTGATAGTGACACAGAAGATTTACAGTAAAGTAGAAAATTAAGCTATAATTATTCAAGTAAGAAGAGTATATGCTGAGTAAACAAAAGGCCATCTCTTCCCCATAAGCTCTGTTACAGAAGCCATGTGACTGGTGAAAGGAGCTAACACATTCTATCTACTCTTCATTCTTCCATTTTACTGTTCTTGCACTTTTTCTAGCTGTACAGGCAAGGTGGTTGTATACAATTTCAATACACACAATTTCGATTATCAAAATTTAAATAGGATGTTATTATTTTGTCAGACTTCCCCCTAATAGTGGAAAATCTTTCTAAGCCAGGATCCCAAATCCATTTAGTTATCATGTCTCCTTTGTCTGTTCCAATCAATGACAGGGCCTCAATCTTTCCATGTTTTTTATGACCTTGACATTTTTGAAGAGTATTGATCAGTTATATTGTAGAATGACCCTCAATTTGATATTGTCTTATGTTTTCTCATGAGTAGATTGAGGTTGTAACTTTTTTTTCCTGCAAGTGCCCTTCTTGGTGCTTCAATCCAGAGGCTACCTTATGTTGATATGTAGTGTTATGATGATGAAGATAACTCAGTTAAAGTGGTGCCTGACAGGTTTCACCTCTAAGGTTTTTTCCCTTTGTAATAAATATTTTGGGAGAGATAAGTTCAGATTATGTAAAATTCTATTTCTCCTCAAACTTTGTCCAATAATTTTAGCATCCACTGGTAAATTTTGCCTGTAACAATTATTACTAAGATGTTTATGCAGGGTTTTAAAAGTAACTAAAATACATGAAATATAACGGCTGAATTGTTCTTGATATAAACATTTAAATTCTACTGGATGCCCTTTTTTCTTACATTCAAAATATGAATAAACATTATTTTCTTTTGTCAGCACTCAGTTAATGTTAATCAATTATGACACCAAAAATAACATAATTGAAATGTTACTTACATAACTATGGCTTTTAAAGAAATCTGATGGACTAGTGGTGAGGATTTTGTCTCCTTCCAAACCAATTACTCTTTTACAAATATTTGATTTTGGATCACTTGGGCTTTTTGCAATCACAATGTCACCTCTGAGGGGGAAAAGTCAAAGAAATGTCTGTATTATTTATTAAGCAAAAACACATGCATGGCACTGCTTTAATACTTTTATAAGACAACTTAAACAAAGCCATAACCTTTATCCTCTCATATACTTACTCTTCCACACATTTACTGGCTTTGAGAACCTTTGTGACTGAATACTTTAGGTGAGAATCCAACAATAAGAGTGATAAAAAGGCTATCTAAAATTTCTGATAATTTCAGAAGATTCTAAACTTTCAGATAATTCTACAAGAATTATCTTTTGCATTGTATCCAGTATGCTTTACTCCTGTGTCCAAATTCTTAGAACCAAAATTGTGGAAAAACAATTCTACATAGGCCGGGTACAGTGGCTCACAACTATAATCTCAGCACTTTGGGAGGCTACGGCAAGAGGATTGCTTGAAGCCAGGAGTTCACGGTTGCAGTGAGGCTAAGATCGTGCCACCATGGGCAACAGACTGAGACCATGTCTCCAAAAAAAAAAAAAAAAAAAAAAAAAAACCACACACACAAAACAAACAAACCAAGAAAAACCCCAAGTGAACCAAAAAAAGAAAAAAAAACCCTCCACACAATTCTATATAAATACTAACAAATTAAGTAAATAAATATTGCGGTCCAGCCAGTAGCACTGATTGACTCTAGAGCACACTAAAAAGGTAAAAGCATCATCCATGTTTCCCTAGAACTCAAATAATTGAGGAATGATAGCATGTAAGTCCTATAACCCATATCAAAAGAACTTATATTTGAGAAAAAAAATCAAAAGATACAACAAAATAAAATGCTAAAAGCTGCCTAAATATACACTCTGAAAAATAAAATGAGATATCAAACATATAAAACCAATAAGGGTCTGATTACATACAGAAGTCATGATTTATGGAAGAACTGACAATCTATCTGGTAATAAAAAATAAGAAAGATCCTAAAAAGTGAAAAGGAAGAAAGATAGAACGTAGGACTAATGACCACAGTCAAACAGAACACAATACTCTTTCTGCATAAAACGAGCAATATGTGAATTCTGTTGACTAACACACGTTTAAAAGGATTTAACATATTTGCTTATTAATTGTACCTAGTTCCAGAAATAGTTTAATGAAGCATATGTCAAAATAATATTAAAAGTCATAAGAATAAAAGGAAAATTATGAAGAAATCAGAAACCTAATAACTGCTCTATAGAAGCATTAAAATGGGTTCTAAACTCTTTGGGAGCCAAGTCAGAAGAAATTAAGACCAGTTACATGGAAATCATTAATTAATAAAATAACATTTAGCTTGGGAGGTAAGACAAAATTTTCCCTAACAACTAAATCAAAGAGAAATTCACAAGAAACTTTCTTATATAAGAGAATAAAAGATACCATCTTTATCAGAAATTTTACACAGAGTGCAGAAATAGTATTTACAATGATGATCTCTTGAGGCTATTCTTGGTAAGAGTTGAAAGGTAGCAAATCGTTACATTCTATAATTTGGAGGCAACACAGTGTTGCCTTCTTTTGAAAACAGAATAAAGGTATTTTCTTTCTAACCAACTAGAACCATGTCAGTGGATCTGTTCAGATGAACAAATTTGCAAAGATTGTAACACGCCATCAAAGTTGATTTTGGGTAGCTTTGGAGGAAGAGACGTTTTTCCATGGGTGTCTAATGAAGCTTAAGTTCTTTGATCAAATAATCAATATGACCCTTAAAACAAACTTTGCACTCGAATGGCAACATAGAAATCATAATTCAGTCGTGCTGTTTTGTAGAAAGTAGTATAAATAAACTTTATTTCTGGTAGTCTAACTAGATATATGCATAGCGTTTAGATCAAAATACATATCGGCTGGATTCTTAACTCCTTCAAATAGTTTTAAAAGGAAGCTTATTAAAAATTTTCTCATTTATATTTATAAACATCCTTATTATTCTACTACACAGTAAGCTTTTGAAAACTAGTGTCAATTATCTCATTAATCTTAACATTCTCTATAATGTATGGTACATCTTATAAATTAGGTGCTCACTACTATTTGTTGAAAGAATAAGCAATAGTAAAAATCTGACTGTCTCAAGGTTGAGTGTTCTGTGCAGTTGACTGAAGAGACATCCATGTGCTTTAGATACTAGATATGCAAACTTTTATTCTTGCCTAAATGGAAGGTTATTTTACATTTAGAAACAGGCAGCTAACAACAGGACACCTTGCCAGGGGTCAAAGATTCCCCTGAAATCTTGAGTTCTGTGCTGTGGGTAAAAGAAAGAGAATACTCAGGACAGTAATATTTCTTAAGTAAAAGTTACCAGCTGGCTATCTTGGCTCTAAAAGTTACTTTGGTATATCTCATAAATGCCAGATTTTGAGCTGTCCTGTAACCTGGATGAATAGGGTACAAAATAAGATCTTCAAAGAATCTGAATTCATTTACTGAATGTAGTTATTTGTTTCACTTATCTGAATGCAACGAGTAATTTTTTTAAAAATATCAAGCTGTGTATTCAAAAACTATTCAGCCAACAAGTTCATCTCCTCATTCAGGATGCCCAAGGATTATTGTGAATAAAATTATGTCACTGGCATGGAACACAGATGCTTGGTTTCATGCTACAGTGGGGCTAGGTCTCCAGTTAATTCAAAGGCTATATAAGGATAATTTGATATAAGTTAAAAAGAAAAGGGAGCAACAACACAATCTATTATATAAGTTTTATTTTATAATTCCTGTATCTACAATTAAGTATATAGAAGTTGTTATGGGTAAAAGATTTGAAGAAGAATTACCTAGGGAGCATGCCAAACCATACAGGTTGACCAAGAGAGTTTCTATCTGCAGAATCTAAGGCTGGTGAAAGATCAGTAAATGTGAAGAAATGTATTCTTAACAATTTTCAGTAATGTGAAATAGGTTATAGCAAAGGTGAATAGTGAAAGAGAAGTGCCTAAACCTACTTAATATGCCATAAACTAAACACTAGCTCAAGGGAATCAAATCTGTAGTTTACTGAAATGAAAGCAGGCATAGATTTTTTTCAGAATTATAAAAAACAAATGGACTCAAAATTTTAGGGTATCAGAGAGGTGCTCTTTAGAAAATATATTAAATTATTAATACTTGACATTCATTTGGAATAAATCATTCTCATAGAGTTAATTGGAATAAAGGGTATCACAAGGATTGGAACCACCACTTGAAATAGGATTTTTTATCATTATTATTTTTTTGTGAGATGGAGTCTTGCTCTGTCACCCAGGCTGGAGTGCAGTGGCATGATCTCAGCTCACTGCAACCTCCATCTCCCAGGTTCAAGCAATTCTCCTGCCTCAGCCTGCTGTGAAATAGGACTTTAAAAGGTTTAGTGACACACAATATTTGCCCAGGAGTTATTCAACTTAATATAATTAATCAGGAGACTCATAATATATACAATTCCTGGTTCTCAGCCATATACAATGATGTAATCTAAAAATCATCAAATGGGCTGGGCACGGTGGCTCACACCTGTAATCCCAACACTTTGGGAGGCTGAGGTGAGCGGATTGCTTGAGCTCAGGAGTTTGAGACCAGCCTGGGCAACATGGCGAAACCCAGTCTCTACAAAAACTACAAAAATTATCTGGGCGCGGCGAGTATACACCTGTAGTCACAGCTACTTGGGAGACTAAGGGGAAGGATCACTGGAGCCCAGGAGGTTGAGGCTGCAGGGAGCTGAGATCGTGTCACTGCACTCCAGCCTGGGAGCCAGAGCAAGACCTCATCCAAAAAATGTATATCAGAAAATTTAAAAAAATAAAAACCATCAAACGGTCATCATAGACTACATATAAAGTAAGATAGCAATCAATAGAACTACAGGATTATTTTTAAAATTAAAGAACAAAAACATTGATTTGGATCTGTAATGTAATCCCTAAGTTCCTAGTTCTTAACTCAAAATATTCTAAAGCCCAATTAAAAAAGTTAAGCTTACATGTATATTGTAAGGGACTGCTAATTATTTTTCAAAATGATGCAAGAGATACAATGACCCAAGACACTGCATATGTTTGAGAAACTATTAAAATTTCTCAAACTGAAAGAGAATATTTGACTCAAAATTTTATCTAGCTGGTTATTAATATGTTTATTTATGAAAGAGGTTTTAAAGATAAAGTTAAGGAACTGCAGAAAAGCCACAATGTGTGTGTGTATTTTCACTGTAAATTTAATATATCCATGACAGAAATTTACCTTTGGATACCATAAAAATGTCGACTAAGATTTTCTGCAAAGACAATATCTGAATTTTGAATTGTAGGCTCCATTGATGGTCCAGAACACTGAAAAGAGAGGTAATTTGTAATCTAAATTCAAAATCTCTTTTAAATTTAACATAAATCTTTTAAGCAAGCTTAAAAGAAAGAAAATCAAGCAAATGTTCCTAAAGCTTGGGGGATGATTCATGAAAATTTGGCAGTTCTCAAGTAAGTTCAACTCTAGAGTAGCCACTAAGTCTGGAAATATAGACAAATACATTATAAATGGATTATTGCTTTCACATTATAATGCCTGAATAAAACAACATTACCTATGTTTCCAAATTTAGGCCACCCTATAGAATCTCAGTTCTATGAAGGCAGAGATCTCTCTCATGTTCCTAGCTATATAACCAAAGCCAAGAACAATGTTTGGTACAAAATTGATAAACCATACATATTGGTTGAATGAATGGGAGAATAATACATTTTCTTATTACTATCAGATATAATCCAGTGAACATGATGATGATTTACTAAATGGTATTATACTATTCTCAGTGAGCTTATGCCCATCTTCCTCTTCCAAGAGAATAGCTTACTCATTTCATGGGGCTGCAACTTAAATGTTCTACTGAAAAATACTAGCATGATGAGATGGACTTTAAAGATTTTCATGGCCAGGCATGGTGGCTCACACCTGTAATCCCAAAACTTTGGAAGAATGACTTGAGGCCAGGAGTTCAAGACCAAACCTGGCAACCTAAATAGAACCCATCTTTACAATGAAGCAATTAAAGATTTTCCTATTTGTATGTCTCAAAACAATAATCTTGATATATACAGGTTGAGTGTCCCTAATAAAAAATCTGAAGTCTTAAATGCTCTAAAATCTGAAATGTTCTGAGTGTCTACATGACACCACAAATGGTAAATTCCATACCTGACCCCATGTGATGCATCACAGCCAACATGCAGTCAAAATTTTTGTTTCATGCACAAAATTCTTTAAAATAGTGTATAACATTACCTTCAGGCTATGCATATAAGGTACATATGAAATATAAATGAATTTTGCGTTCAGACTTGGGTCCCATCCCCAAAATATCTCATTATGTATATGCAAATATTCCAAAATCCAAAAAAATCTAAAATCCATAACACTTCTGGTCCCAAGCATTTCAGATAAGGGATACTCAAACTCTACCTCAGAATCAGAAAAAACTATCATCGCCACTTTAAAAATCTAAATCCGACAGTCTCCATTTACTCTATTTGTAAATAAAACTTTTTACTCAAAAGTTCCTACTCAGGCAGAAATAGGAGGAAATACAATTACAGTTTGTTTGCTACCTTTGGAAGTACCAATCTAACTTACAAAAAAATCAAGAAGGCAAGTTTCAGCCAGGTACAGTTGCTCATACCTATAATCCCAGAACTTTGGGATGCCAAGGTAGGCAGATCACCTGAGGCCAGGAGTTCGTGCACAGCCTGGCCAACATGGTGAAACGCCATCTCTACTAAAAATACAAAAATTAGCCAGGCATGGTGATGTGCGCCTGTAGTCCTAGCTACTTGGGAGGCTGATGCATGAGAATTGTTTTGAGCCCAGCAGGCAGAGGCTGCCGTAAACTGAGATCACTTGATTGCACTCCAGCCCAGGCAACAGAGCAAGACCCTGTCTCCAAAAAAAAAAAAAAAGAAGGGAAATTTCAGTTAAATATATATATTTCCATTACTCCACCTTAACTGGAGGTTATGTGACTGTCAATCTGATAAAGTAAACCTAATTTAAAAAAAAAAACAGTAATAACAACAATAAAAAAAATTGACTGGCTGGTCAATCAATTTATTCTTTCACTTACATGACAAAAGGCTTGAATCAACAGCCACAGTTTGTAGTTTCCCAATATAATATTAAGAAAAAGTATTAGTTGGGGATAGGGAAAAACTTTAACATTTTAATATAGACATTAGGCAGAATAATCTGTCTTAATTACAGATGATTAATTTGTTTTAATTACAGTTATTGTGGTTATGAGCTGGAATTTTGAAAACTGGACAAATATGTGTTGAAATTTCAAGTTACTTACTAACTGTGGGACCTGGAACAAGTAAATTACTTAAGCTTTCTCAGTTCATTTCCTCATGTGTATAATGGATTACTAGTAAGTATCTCAAAGAAGTGTAAAAGATTAAATGAGTTAGTAAGTGTAAAACATCAAACATATCCTGAAACACAGTAAATAGGATTCAATAAATGGTAATGACTATTATTGTTATACTATTCAAAAGGACCCTTTGTGCCCATTAGAAACAGAATACAGAAAATATTTAAGTAATGGTCCTTATACCTTCTATCAGTGCCAATTCAAACACACTCTCTTATTATTCCAATATTTAGAAAGATTTTATGTTTTAACTTTCACAGTTTAGTCATTAAATAACTTCAACTAGGTTTTCAAAAGGAAAAACACACTTTCCTTCCATTTGAAAGAAAGTATATATTTAAGATGAATATTCTTGAACATAAAAACTTACCATGACAACACCACCAACGTATTCAAAAGCACAATGAGCTATACAGCCATATTGAATAGTATAGCCAACAAGTCGAAAGGTTTTCCCCAGAACACCACGAAGCATAGTTCTATGTAGACTCTGCCACCATTGGCCTGATGGTAAATTTCAAAAAGTTTCATGATCAATACTATTTAAAAACACTTAAGAAATAACTATTGTAAAATATTTTACAATCACCCAAAATGTACTAAGTGCCTAATACAATTTGGTGCAGGAAACCAAGAGTTTGTTATCAGTTCTAATGATATTTTAAATGGCAAATTGTAGCCACTAAATATTTTGATTTACCAAAGTTTATATTCAAATGTCACTGGGTCTACATATGAATTATATAATTAGTAGATTATAAACTAGTCTGTCCCCTTCCATGTCTTGGTTGTTTCTTCTATTAAGGCAGATGCTTAAAAAAGATAGTAACTCTTTCAAAGGACTAATAAAAGTTCCTTGCTATATATTACTTCTTGCCATGTAATAGGAAATAATGGAGAAATCACTAGAATAGGAATATGGAGATTCAAGTTTCACATTGGTTATTTTACTAACTTGTATAATCTTCAACAATTACTTAACCCTTCTGGGGCCTAGTAGAAATACTCTCATAGAATGATTATTAGAATCAAATTCAGCAATGTATGTCAAAGTACTTTATAAAAAGATACACTCATTTGTGAGCTATTAACTACTGATGTAACAAAAGGAACACATAAATACTATGAAACAACAGCATAAAGAACCATTTAAAGATTTTTTAAAGCTATATAAAATTTTAAAATATTGTTCATCTAAAATATTTCTAATATCTGTCCTTTACTATTTAACTGTTACAACTATGTATCATGCATTTCTTAACTAATAGCCTAACTCTTAGGCCTAGGCTACAATATACTGTTCTCAGATCAAATTTATTAAAATATATCGATAATAATATGTAACATCTGCTTAACATGTCAAGATTTACATATACTATCTCTGTAAGATAGATATTATTACCATCCTCAATTTATAGACAAGAAAAAAAAAGCCTAAGAGTAGTAAAGTAACTTGCTTATTATCATCACAAAGTTGGCAAAGGATGAAGCCAGTAATAAAAGGTCTCCCAAAAAAGAAAAGCCCAGCATCAGATGGTTTTACCTCTGAATTCTACCAAACATATAAAAAAGAACCAACACCAATTCTTCTCAAACTATTCCAAAAAACTGGAAATTGAGGGAATTCTTCCTAATTCATTCTACCAGGTCAGCATTGCCCTAATGCCCAAACCAGATGCAGGAAAAGAGAAACTGTAGGCCAAAATCCCCAATGAGCTCAGATGCAACAATCCTTAACAAAATACTAGCAAACCAAACCCAACAACGCATTAAAGAGATAATATACCACGATCAGATGGGATTTATCCCAGGGATGCAAGGATGGTTCAACACATGCCAATCAAACAGTGTGATATATAGCACATCAACAGAATGAAGAACAAAAACCATACAATGATCTCAATAGATGCAGAAAAAGCATTTGATAAATTTCAACATCACTTCACGATACAAACTCTCAAGAAATTAGGCAAAGAAGGAACATACATCAAAACAATAAAAGGCAATATATGACAAACCCACAGCTAATATCATACTTAATGGGGGAAAAGCTGAAAGCCTGTCCTCTAAGATCTGGAACAAGACACGGATGCCCACCTTCACCACTCTTATTCAACATAGTAACGGAAGTCACAGCCATAGCAATTAGGCAAAATAAAGAAATAAAGGGCATCCAAATTGAAAAAGAGGAAGTAACTATCCTGGTTACAGATGACATGATCTTATATATAGAAAAACCTAAAGACTTCACCAAAAATACTTTTAGAACTGATAAATGAATTCAATATAGTTGCAGGATACAAAGTCAACATACAAAAATTAGTAGCATTTTATTCACCAGGAATGATCTAGCTGAGTAAGAAATCAATGGGATCAATAAAGCAACCCCACCTAAAATGGCTATAAAACATTAAAAATATAACTAGGAATAATTTTACCCAAGGAGGTGAAAGACCTCTACAATGAAAACTACAAAAACACTGAAAGAATTGAAGAGGACATAAAAAATAAAAATGGAAAGACAGCCCATACTCATGGATTGGAAGAATTAATATTGTTCAAATGACCATACTACCCAATTTGATCTAAAGATTCAATGCAATCTCTATCAATATACCAAAGTCATTTTTCACAGAATTAGAAAACAATCCTAAAATTCATACAGAACCACAAGACCCCAAATAACCAAAGCAATATTGAGCAAAATGAATAAAGCTGATGGTATTACACTACCTGACTTTAAAATACACTACAAAGCTATAGTAACCAAAACAGCATGGTATTAGTATAAAAACACATAGACCAATGGGACACAATAGAGAACCCAGAAATAAATCCATGTATTTACAGCCAACTGATTTTTGACACGGTACCAGGAACATACACTGGAGAAAGGACATCTCTTCAATAAATAGTGCTGGAAAATTTGGATATCCACATGTAGAAGGACAAAACTAGTCCCCATATCTCTAACCATATATAAAAATCAACTTAAAATAAATTACAGACTTATAAATAAGATCAAACTATAATACTATAGGGGAAACACTTCAAGACATTGGTCTAGGCAAAGATTTTATGGCTAAGAAATCAAAAGAACAGGCAAGAAAAAACAAAAATAGACAAACGGATTTAAACTAAAAAGCTTCTGCACAGCAATGAAAATAAAGTAAAAAGACAACATGTTGAATGGGAGAAAATATTTGCAAACTATGCATCTGACATGGACTAATATCTAGAATATACAAGGAACCCAACAGCAAAAAAACAAATAACCCAATTAAAAAGTGGGCAAATGATCTGAATAGACATTTTTCAAAAGAAAACATAGAAATGGCCAACAAATATATTAAAAAATGCTCAACATCACTAATCTTCAGGGAAATGCAAGTCAAAACTATAATCAGGTATCATCTTACCACAGTTAGATTGATTATTATCAAAAAAGACAAAGAAAGTGCTGGCAAGGATGTGGAGAAAAGAAAATTCATATACCCTGTTAGTGGGAATGTAAATTAGTACAGTCATGGAAAACAGTGTGGAGGTTTCTTTAAAAACTCTAGAGAATCAAAAAATAATTCTCTCAATTCTGCTACTGGGTATTAATCCGAAAGAAAGGAAATCAGTATATCAAAGGGATACCTGCATCCTCATGTTTATTGCAGCGTAGCTACTATTCACAATAGCTAAGACACAGAATCAACCGAAATATCCATCAACAGATGAATGGATAAAGAAAACATGCTATACATACACAATGGAATACTATTCAGCCACAAGGAGAATGAAATCCTGTTATTCAAGGCAACATGAATGACCCTGGGGCACATTATGTTAAGAGAAATAAATCTGGCACAGGAAGAAAAATACCTTATGTTTTCACTCATCTGTGGGAGCTTAAAAAAATATTGAGCCTATGGAAGTATAGTGTAGAATTATAGGTATCAGAGGCTGGGAAGGGGAGGTAGGAGGGGAGAATGAGAAGTTGGTTAATGGACACAAAATTACAGCTAGATAGGAGGAATAAGTTACTGCCTTCTGCAGCACTGTTGGATGAATACGGTTAACTATAATTTATTGTATATTTTCAGAAAGGTACAAGAAGATCTTTAATGTTCACAACATAAAGAAATGATGTGTTTGAGGTGATGACTACGCTAATTACCCTGATTTGATCATTATATACTGTATACATGTAACACAATATCACTGTATCCCATTAATACATACAATTATTACATACCAACTAAATATAAAAGGAAAAACATTGAAAGTGAATCTAGAATGTATCTTAGTAGTTGTTGGTTGTAGTATTTTATGTATATTTCAGATAGTAAAAGTGAGCAAATATTTAAGTCATTTCTCACTGTGAGAAAAAGAAGTAACAAATATGGAAAGGGATCTTAAGGATGAATTTGAGTTATCAAAACAAATTTACTTAAATAAGCATGTATATATTTGTCTGTTTGCCTATAAAAAAATGTCATCCTAGCTCTGTCCACTGTGAAAAGGCCATTGTAAGAAGCAATGACACTATAGTACTTATGAGCACACTTAGTGCCCACATTTTTGGTTTCTAAGTATCATGCTCCACCAGTGCAGAACAGTCAGTGCTCAAAGACTGGTGCAAACAAAGGAACCATTCTGAGGGGTCATCCAATGGCCAAATGTGGGACAATATAAGCCTAAAAATAATAACAGTAATTGATAATACATTAAATTTGAGACAACATAAGCCTAAAAATAGTAACAGTAATTGATAACACATTAAATTAAAAATGAAATTTTTAAAAAGATGCATGTGTTGGGAATAGGGAAAGTTCTTCATCAAAACATGACAGCTAATAAATGTAGAAGGAATGGTAAAATTACCACCAGTGTAATAATTGACTCAGACAAGGGCCACTGATGCATGCTAAAATATACTGGGTGAAACATTGTTGGTCAAAAAGATATTTGAAAAGTATCAAAGTAGATAATTTTTTTTTTTTTTTTTACAAAGGGAACAAGGTATCTTTCCAATGGGAAGATCTGGTAAATACTAACTTAACACAATGACCAAATTTAGCAGCATACTGATATCATGTGGCCTCTTACCAATGGAATGACAAGTACATCATCATCTGTGTACCATTCCTGCCAAAAATGTGTAACCTAAATCTGATCATGAACAATCAAAACACATCCATATTGCAGACATTCAACAAGACAACCAGCTTGAACACTTAAAAAGTATAAATTTAATGAAAGGAAAAATTATACTAAAAGTACTATTTTCAATTACAAGAAAATAGAAGGACATGACAACCAAACACAATATGAAATCTTGAATTGGATCCTGGAGCAAAAGGAAAAAGAAAGCTATAAAAGACATGGGGACAACTGGGTAAATCTGAATATTGTACATAAAAATATATCACTGTTTCAGTGTTAAATTTCTTAACAATATGCTACGTAGGAGAATGACCTTGTTCATAGGAGATAAACAAGGAATTATTTTGAGAAAAATGCTATGACTGCAACTTCCTTTCATATGGTTCACTTCTACTGCTAATAATCATGGATACAGAGAGATGAAGACAAATTGATACACACATATATATACACACATACGGATATATTACATATGGAGGAAGATAGAACGCTAATGTGGCAAATGTTCATTGTTAAATCCAAGTGAAGTGTATACAAATGTGCATTGCACTATTTTTTTCAGCTTTTTTTGTAGAATAAAACTTCTAAAAAACAAACACTTGGGGAAAAAAGGGTGACTTCATTCATTCAACAAATATTTACTGAGCTACTACTACGTACCAGATACTGTGTTCAGCCCTGGGAATACAATAGTGAACATGATGCCTTCTCTCATACAGCTTATAGTATAGTGGGGCAGATATCATAGATACACAAAGTAAACAAATAAATACATAAATACATTAAGTAATTTCTGTAAAGAAAAATATAGTAAAGTGATAGAGAATAACGGGTGAGGCATACTTTCTTTAAGATGAATCAGAAAAGATTCCTCTGATGAAAATGCCATTAAAGATAATGCTGCATTTAACTTTCTGAAGAACGCCCAAACTGTTTTCCAAAGCAGTTGCACCACTGTACATTTTTACTAGTAATGCATAAGGTTTCCAATTTCTCCATATCCTTGCCAACATTTGTTACCATCCATGTTTTGATTGTAGCCATCCCAGTGTGTATGAATCTCACTGTGGCTTTGATTTGCATTTCCTTAACAACAAAATATTCATAAGCACCTTTTTCATGTGTGTATTGATCATTTGTATATCTTCTTTGAAAAATATCTACTCAAACACCTTGCCCATTTAAAAAATTGGGCTACTACAGTTTTTAGTTTAATCCAAAGATTATAAGCATGCTATAAAATAGTACTAAATGATTGCATTCAATCAAAGCACATTATAAAATAGAATCAAATGACTGAAAGCCAAGAGAAAAAAAAGTACAAAACAGAAAGAGAGCAACAGGTGATTCAGGTATTGCACTTAACATATGAACACTTTAAAATAACTATGATTAACATTAAAAAAAACAGAAGGAAAGACAAAAGTTCAGCAGTGACCTAAAATCTATTAAAAATCAAATGGAAATTATACACAACACAATACTACAAAATAAAATATAACTAAAATTAATGCATTACATGAATATACCGGCAGATTCTGCCTACTAGGCTCAGCCTAACAGGAGACAAGTGAACTGGAATGCAAGTTGGGAGAAAGTAGTAAGACTGAAGGACAAAGAGGAAAGCAGGTAGGCAATCCAGGAGAAACAGTACTAATATAATCAGAGACCTAAAGGAGAGGAACAGAGAATAGGACAGAAGCAATATTTTGAAGAAATATTGGTAGATAACTTTCCAAATTGATGAAAGACCTTAACTCACAAACTCAAGAAATTCTACAAACCATGAACAGGATACACACAAAACACACAGCTACATCCAGGCACAGTAGAGTCAAGATGCTGAAAAAGACAATGAGAAAAGTTTAAAATTGGTCAGAAATTTACCTTATTTTCAAAGAAACAATTTTGTCTGTTCAACAAAATGGAATGGCTACCTTTACATAAGAAATAATTAAAACCAGAATAAAATAAAATGGCATTTTTAAAGTATGAAAATCACCAAACTATAATTCTATGTCTGATGAAAATATACCTCAAAAGCTAAAGAAAAAAATAAAAACACTTTTAGAAAACAAGTTTTGTGAATGTTTTTGCCAGCACAACTGTAATAAAATATACGCTAACAGGAATAATTCAGGAAAAACAAAATGTTATCAGATAGAATTTGGCAAATGGGCTGGGTGCAGTGGCTCATGCCTGTAATCCAACACTTTGGGAGGCCAAGGTGGGCAGATCACCTGATGTCGGGAGTTCGAGAGCAGCCTAACCAACAAGGAGAAACCCCGTCTCTACTAAAAATACAAAATTAGCCAGGTGTGGCAGCGCATGCCTGTAATCCCAGGTGCTCAGGAGGCTGAGGCAGGAGAATCGCTTGAACCCGGGAGGCGGAGGTTGCGGTGAGCCGAGATAGCGCTATTGCACTCCAGCCTGGGCAATAAGAGCAAAACTCCATCTCAAAAAACAAAAAACAAAAAACAAAAAAAAAAAGAATCAGGCAAATCCAAGAAGGAAGGAAGAGAAGTGAAGAGTACATACATACATATTTGGATAAAGATACTGATGCTGTTTAAGACAATAACAAAAATATTTTACAGGACATAAAACATATATAAAAAAGAACACTAAAAAATAGAACTACCATATGATCCAGCAATTCCACTACTGGGTGTATATCCAAGAGAAAGGAAATCAGTATGTTGAAGAGATGTCTGCACTCCTATGTTTATTGCAGCACTATTCAGAATAGGCAAGATATGGAATCAACTTACATGTCCAACAGATGAATGAATAAAGAAAATGTGGTATATATACACAATGGCATACTATTCAGCCACAAAAACCAATGAAATCCTGTCAAACAAGGCAACATGTATGAGCCTGGAGGACAATTATGTTAGTGAAATAAGCCAGGCATAGAAAGACACATATCATATGTTCTCACTCATACATGAAAGCTAAAAAAGTTGATTTCACAGAAGGAGATAGAATAGTGATTATTAGAGGCTGGAAAGTGTGAGGCATGATAAGGAGGGACTGGCTAACAGACGCAAAATTACAGCTATATAGGAGAAATAAGTTCTACTGTTCTATTGCACTGCAGGGTGACTGTAGTTAACAATAATTTAGTGCATATTTTCAAAGAGCTATAAGACTTTTAATATTCCCAACACAGAGAAAGGATAAATGTTTGAGGTGATAGATATGTTAATTACTCTGATTTGATCATTATACACTGTACATATGTATCAAAATCATACTGTACCATAACTGTACACAATTATTAAGTGTTCAAGAAAAATCTCCCAGTGAGAAACCTGTTTGGATAAGGCCCTAGACCTCAATGAAGGTGTTAACCCGAGGATCTTTCTCCCTCTCCTTCCCTCTGAAGTGTTCCCTGACCTCCGTGTATGGCCTCCAGGTATGTCATGTATCCAGGACCTGTAAGTAATAAAACCATTATTTCTATCTTGTGTCTCTCCTAATCATTGAAGGAGTGTGTTCCATCTTAAAGATGCTAAATTAAAATATATATATTTAGATGCTAAATTATATATATATCTTCAATTTAAAAAAACAGGGCAATAGAGAATGGGATCAAACAAAGGCCGACAGATTGGGTTTTCATAGAAGTTTAGTACTTCCTCCAATGTAATAAAAGGGAAGAAAAATATGAGTTAACATACTGGTAGTTTTGTCAGTTTGATGGTAGAAAAATAAGGGAGCTCTTGCCTCTTGTTTTTATTTACTCTTTCTTATGAGCTGAGACTGGGAACTTTTAGCACAAAGCGAACTGGTAAACGGAACTGGTTACAGATGTACTAGTATTCCATTGGTGCCAACAAATTACCATAAACTTAGTTGCTTAAAACAACACATATTTATAATCTTACAGTTGATAGGTCAGAAGTCTAACATGGGTACCACTGGGCTAAAAAATCAAGACTGTTTCTTTCTAAAGGCTTTAGGGGAGAATCCATTTCCTTGCCTTTCCCAACTTCTAGAAGCACTAACATTCCTTTACTCATAGCCCCTTTGTTCCATCTCAAAGCCTTTAATCTCCCTGGCCATTATTCCATGGTCACTTCTTCCTCTGTTTCTCTCTCTCTCCTGCCTCCTTTTTACTCTTTTAAGGACCCTGGTGATTACACTGAGCCCAACTAGATAATTCACAATGATCTCAAAATCCTTAATTTAATCACACCTGTGAAGTCTCGTTTGCCATGTAAGGCAACATATTCAAAGGTTCTGGAGATTAGGATGCAGACATCTTTGGAGGGCCATTATTCTACCTACCACACCAGGATACAGAACATTAAACTAGTAATTACTAAACTGTGGTTCCTCAGACCAGCATCAATATGGCATCATCTTGAAACTGATTTGGTCAAATACAAGACTTATTAGAATCAGAAACTTAGGAAGCGTTGTTCAGCAATCCGTATTTTAACAAGTTCTCCAAGTGACTGCTCTAAACTCTTGGTGACCAATGGCCATTGCCAGCCTTGGGCAGCCCTATTTATCCAGTCATTTACTACTTTGTGTTGTATAACTTACCATGTACCATGTGTGCTGTGAAAAAAATCTGGGAAGCTTGGGCACCAAAAAATTCAGAATCTGTTACTTTTTTTATTCCCTATCATATTTACATTAAAAAAACTGAGTCATTAATGTAGAGAACCAATTTCTTTAAAGGGGAACCTATATATTCTTTCAAATAATTAATAGAAAAGCTAGGGAAAAAGTGAAAAGCAGCATAAAAATTGTGACTGTGTCATACAGCAAAAGAAGTATAGGAGGATCCTCCCCAGAAATCTTTTAAGAGCCTCTTCATTACTTTACATATATTAACTCATTTAATCCTTAAAACAACCCTATGAGAACTTAGATACCTCTTTTATTTTTTATTTATTTATTTATTTTTTTTTGAGATGGAGTGTCGCTCTGTCGTCCAGGCTGGAGTGCAGTGGCGCAATCCCAGCTCACTGCAATCTCCGCCTCCCAGGTTCACACCATTCTCCTGCCTCAGCCTCCCGAGTAGCTGGGACTACAGGTGCCCGCCACCTCGCACGGCTAATTTTTGTTGTTGTTGTTGTTGTTGTTTGTTTTTTTGAGACGGAGTCTCGCTCTGTCGCCCAGGCTGGAGTGTAGTGGCGCGATCTTGGCTCACCGCAAGCTCCGCCTCCCGGGTTCACGCCATTCTCCTGCCTCAGCCTCCTAAGTAACTGGGACTACAGGCGCCTGCCACCACGCCCGGCTAATTTTTTGTATTTTTAGTAGAGACGGGATTTCACCATGTTAGCCAGGATGGTCTTCATCTCCTGACCTTGTGATCCGCCCGCCTCAGCCTCCCAAAGTGCTGGGATTACAGGCATGAGCCACTGCGCCCGGCCCCTTTGATATCTCATTTTACAGATAAAGAAACTGAGGAGCAGAGAGATGAAGGAACTATTCAAAGTCATGCAGCTCATTAGAGGCCAGGCCAGAATTCAAAATGAAGCTGTTTAGGTCTAACATCCAATACTACACCATATTGCCTCTCAATTTAAATGAAAAAATTTTTGGATACTATAAAATAGGCATCTGGGAATAGAGACACATAGGAAAGATAGAGGTAGGACTGATGTTAAAACCAGCTAAAAAGATTGAGCAGAGTGAACCTCAGAAGCTGAAAAGAAATTAGAGATTCCTCCATCTTTAGAAATTTCTGGGCATAGGCATCCAATTCTAAGATTCTAATTTGGATCCAATGACTGAAGTAGACTTACAGTAATTTCAGAATACCCAAAGTCACAAGAAGTTGTCCACCTGATTGTTCAGGTCTGAAATTCCTTTGAAAAGAGAAAGCATTTCGTTTCAGAAACAGGAAAAATATATATATACACATTATACAAGTATGTAAATACATTATATATGTATATATATGTCAAATGTTAAGACCATCGGTTTACATAAATTCATTCATTCTAAAGTATAAGCAATCACAGAAATGATTTAATGTCATTAATGTATTTTTGTTCCGATAGAGGAACAGAGTTTGAGAATAAATTAGCATTTAAAGAAGTGTTCACATTAAGAAAGGGTGAGCAGAAACAAGTTAGATAGGGAAGGAGAAAACAAATTACATCATAGTTTTGCCACATTTACCTTCATTTGGGCAAGAAAAAATAGTAGATTTTGACATTTCTGAGACCTTGGAGATGTTCAAAGTCAAGAATACTTACACAAAATCCATTTTCCCCACAGAATGATGCATAAAAAGTAACTGAGAGATATATGTCCACTTAAGATCCTAGGTAGAAGTTATTGTGACAAGTAGAGAACAACAAAGACTCATTATGCTGAGTAGTATACTCTGCTCAATAGCTAAATAATTCACTCTCAAACAGCAGAGTCTCCATCAAAGTAATTCAAATTCCTGTCATTTCAAAATCACCTTCAGGGCTGCTCATGAATTGTTCAAATCCATAAGTGTTAAATCTACTGTAAGATTTGTATAGAGATTTTTATTTTCTAAAACTGCAAACTCAAGGCACTCATACTCCCATAATCTATGAAGATTTTATTAAAATCTGTTTATTTTGAATTAAAAAATTAGCTGGGCATGAGGTGCACACCTGTAGTCCCAGCTACTTGGGAGGATTACTTGAGCCCAGGAGGTTAAGGCTGAGGTGGGCCATGATCTTACCACTGCACTCCAGCCTGGGCAATAAAGCAAGACCCTGTCTCAAAAAGAATTAGAAAAAAACACTAAACCTGTTTATTTTGTTTCATTAGCAGAGGAAATAACTGCCATTACTTTAAAGTTTAAAGCAGTGAATACTGCTTCAAATTTGACTGCAGCATCAAAATAACATGAAAACCTAATATCAACCAAAATTAAAAACTAAAAATCCAAATTCCCAGGCTCCCTGCGATTCCTATGATTCTCATCCTACATCACAGAGCTAATGAAAGAGAATCTCTGGGAACCCGGCTGCAGATTCTATAGTTTTAATAAGCTCCCAGGAAGGAAGTCCAGTAAAGGACTTTGTCCTGTCCTTTAAGACCACCGACGCATACTCAATATTTTCAGAGACTTGACAAAATTTACCCATTCATTATCTTTAAAGTGAACGTTAACTTTGGGATAATTCTATAAATTTTCATCAAGTAAATATTATAATGCTAATACTTCAATGTATTTCATTAGTCCACTGGTATTTTCTGAATTTTACATTTTCACATATAACCAAAATTGAAACTCACCTTATGTTTATAAAGAATAAGCAGTTGATCATTTTAATATAAGAAAGCATCACCTTCCAAAAAGTAAAATACCAAAACATCCACATTCATTCACCAATAATACAACTATTAAATGATCTATTTCAAAATATAGCAGTTGTATGAGTAACAGTGGAAGAATATTAATTCAAAAAGAAATATCATTTAGCATTATCATAGGCTAACCCTCACTGTGCCACAGTTCATGAACGGCTTTTAGAGAGATCAGCCTCCAACTCCTGGGCTCAAAGAATCCTCCCACTACAGCCTCCCAAGTGTCTGGGACCAGGGACGGGTGCCACCATGCCCAGCCCCATCCTATTCTTTTGTTATACCTGACTTATCATTCTTTCTAAAAAATTTCTTCTCATTTCATCGTATATCCCACTCTCTTATCTCCAAAAATAATTCCCTTAAGTCTTACTGACATCATGAGTTGCCTGTGCTGCAAATTAGTATCTAGCTTAAGATAAGCCAAATTTCTTATAAGTTATCAACAGATATTAAAATTCAAATAACCTGTATTTTTATGAAAAGAATGTATACCATTGAGAAGATCTTATGTTTTATGTTGAATTTACTTCAGATGAGTTTATTTGAGACGTTCTAAAGAAAATAACCATCTCTAAACAAATAAGAGTGACCCCTAGAACGGAGAAGGAAAAAATACTAACTCTCAAGAGCTGTTCAGTAAATACCTGAATAAAAAGTAAAAAAGTAAATACTGACCAGGTTTAGTAAAACCTTCCAGACAAATTCTGTTTTGAATGCAAAACTACTTTTAAAAATAAATATATAATACTACAAGCTACCATAGAAAGTTATGCTGAGATAATAGCCTACCTGGCAAAATAATGTGAAATTACACATAAACCAAATATTTTAGATTTAAAATAAGTAATTTTATTATGAGGGTAAGAAAAAGATTTTAGTCCACTTATTTACTTCATGGATAGCTTTTTTCATCATAATAAAATAAAAATTTTTCCAAACAGCAAACATACAAATAGAAGGCAAAAGTCGTCCTTTATAAAAGTAACACAATGCAGTTTACTGGAAATATTGGCAAGCTTTCTCATTTATTCATTCAAAATGTGGTAAAAGTTTGGAAATACAATTTGAAATACAGTAGCTTGGAACCAGTTAAACCAAACCCGGGAACTCTGTATAAATTTATTATATTTGCTGACTTTTCTAGTAAAGACTTTATATGGAAAAGAATAAAAGATACTACACATAAACAGAGGTGGTAGTACATTAATGGTGTGCATCAGGTATAAAATTGATTATATTTTAATTATTTTTATAATTTCAAGAAAATACTTTAGTCACCTATATTTAGTTAAAATGTTAAAGTTTAAAAACATTTAGACTGAGGCTGTATAATTTATTTTTTAAAAGATACAGCTACTAAACAAAAGAGCTATGAGATAAAATCCAAGTTCTATGAATAAATATTTTAAAATTAAGTACTCTAAGATCATAACACTGACAACACTAATTATCTTTTCTAGTCTTGGCAGTTACGTTGCATACTGTTTGGGTGACTGATGGGATAATTTCACTTCATTTTCTCTCAGTTTATATTGGATCGTGTTAGAAAAAAATATTAAAATAATTAACACCTCCAGCCAAAGTACTTGATAAAGTTTTTAGTTGAAATAAAAGCTAACAAAATCAATTAACTAACTCACTGATTTTTAAGCACACAACTAAACCTCCATCTAAAGGAAAAGTTACTAAGAATCACTGATTTTTAAAAATAAGTCATTCAGTATTCCTATTTACTCTATACTTTTATATATTAAAATCATATATTTCACCAAAAGCCCTTTCATCAGCAGTTTCAGCTAGCATTACCTTCATTACAAAAAATATAGGTGTCTATATATTTCAAATTATGTTTTATTCACCAAAAACATTTCATCAGTAGCAACTGAAGCAGTCAAAAACAGGTAAAACATATGACGAAACATATTATTTCAATTCCTTACAGCTAGACATTTTGATTAATTTCATAGTGGCTCTATAGCCAAAAGAATATAAAAGTATTTAAATTAATATTTGATCTGAAATATGAATTGTTACCAATAGTAAATAATTTGCCATTCAATTAAAAAAACCAAGACATCATTGATCAACTTTTCTATTTCAATAGCTTAATAAATTTTGAATCATATAGCTTAGTTTGTATATGTCTTGCATAATTTTAAGTCATATAGCTTAACATAAGGTTACATATTATAAATAATAAAGAGCATATTCTTTGCCTTGATGACCTGATTTTTTGTTGTTGTTGTTTATAAAATTAATCACAGTTAGCAGGGCAGAAATAGCTTTGAGCTTCATGAATGACATCCAAGAGATGGGAAAGGATTAGTTCTCAGTTGCTGCCAGTTATAGCGCCAGGTGGCTTTTTCTGCAGTGAAGGTGTTACCGATAATCCCATTACACTGGTACTAAATCTTGCAGACATCAAAATTATCACCAAGGTTCCTTTTCATCCCATCCTTTCCAAATGACTGGAAGTCGCTTCACCTGAAAGAAGTCAAATCCACATGCAGCTGCTGTTTTAGCCGGCAGCAAACTCCCTGAGAATGTCAGTCGTGATTCAGTTTTGCTGTGCTGGTTGGCCCCCTATTCCCTGTCCAATAATACATCTGTTAAAAAATCCTACAGCTACAAATCAAGTTTAATCCTACCAGGGACCTCATGTTGGTCTTGTCTTCCAAAAAGGCAGCAGATTCTGCTGTCTATCTCTGCTAGTATCTGGGGAATACCCTTTAAATCCCAGCCCTACTTAGAAGAATAAGCTAAGGATCACAAAACATGACCTCAAAAACCCTGATATGACTATATTCTGACCCAGAGGCATTCATTCTAGGTGAAGATTAGAACTTTGCATAATAAGATTACACAGCAAGTGAATGATATCAGGGGACTATCCATATGCAGCCGCCTGGTTTTGTATAGACAGCCTGTGCTCTGCAATATGCAGTGCAGACGAAAAAGAGCTTGGTCTTTCTAGCTGAAATAAAATAGATTCACATAAATTAGTTGGCCATTTCCAGATTTCTAAATCCCCTATTACATCTTTTATTGACAGCTCCTGTGAGGATAGCACAAATGTTATTCTTTTTTATTCTGTGCTTCTATAACAATCATGCTCTGTAATTGAAATGTACATAGATTATGTCTAGAAATTAACATCTTGTTTGCTGTAATCTTGGATTACAATTGACTGTGTACATAATAAAATTAGGAAATCAATGGACGGATTTATCATCTCCAAGAAACTAGAGGTATTGTTTAAAGAATAGTTTAACATTTTGTGCCAACACTTTAAATGCAGGAGTCACAGGGAGTAGTCAATAAAAATGTGAGTCCAAGAATACAGCAGGCATTGGCTAATAACTAAAAATGATATTACATAAAATTAGGTCATAGCCCTCGAAATTTAGAAAATGTGAAAAACTCAGAGATTTCATAAATATGGTTTTCTCTAACTCATACTTGTGCAAAGTCAATTATGTATGACCATTTTAAATAAAATATGTATGCCTACAGTATTTTATATAAATTTCCTTGATCATTTTATAACTATACTTTAAAATATTTGAATCAAGTCAAATAAATTGTAATTCAAGGTTTTATAATTCTTAACTATATGTTTTTAAAATAGTTATCAGTGAAGAAATCTCTCCTCACATTTAAATATGTACAGAACATTTTAAATGTATAGAATTCTAGAGAAATTAGGAAAATGATATTTTATAATCAGCTTCTTCCACCCATGACATAACAGCTATACCAGCTTATCTAAGCAAATTTATATGAAAAGACTGATTCATATACATTTACACAAACATCTGTCCAGAATAAATCTAAGGATGTGAAGACGTTGTAAGTTTTATATAAAAAAAAAGTACTAAGATTTGCGATGGAATTCTTGTAAAACTAAACTCCTAAGTATACTTGCAATATGGCTTACTTGACAAGTTTGATTTGCCGACAATTTTTGAGGAACACTCCACATTTATTACATTAGTCATTATCACGTCATCATCACAATCTCTTTAAACATATCTGTACAATGTCTGATAAGTACTCAAAAGTCAGGTGACACAATTGGATTTTATGTATCACACAGAAAGATATAAACCAATGGTATTAGTGCTATAAAAAACTTTATGTAATTTCAACTACATAGCACATGAATATTCTTTGGTTACCTTGACTAGGATATTACTAGAAAAATCAGAAATGTAAAAAGTACATATTTTTGTTATGATATTTTGTTAAAACTGTGTAATACTTTAGAACTATACTGTTCAATAAGGTGGCCACTAGCCTTATGAGGCCACTTAAAAGATGACTAGTCCAAATTGAGATGTACTATAAGTATTAAACACACATTGGACTCTGAAGACTTAATACAAAAGAGGGAAAGTATTTTGTTAATGTTTATATTGATTACGTATTGAAAATATTTTGGTTATAGCTGATTATGTGATTCATATTATGTTTCTAATGGAAAGCACCACTTTAGCAGGTCTTATATTTTCCTATGTTCCTAAGCCAAATGAAATGGTGCAACTAATAAAAATACTGAAGCAGAGGGTTAATTATGGAAGAACAAACATTCCAGTGTCAAATCTGGTAGATAAGCTTAGTAAAGAAAGTATAAAATCCTGTCATTTTAGCTTCTACTTCATATTTTCAGTTTAAGGATGGTGGTGAAAGAAGACCTGCCAAATTGCTGACCATCGATGTATAAAAAAAGAATGATGTGATGTAGTTACAAAATGCTTTAGTCCAGTAAATACAGGTTTTTAAAAAAATTGTCTCTTGAGCAATTTCATAAAAGACTAGTGAGGTCTGTGTTACTCCCTCATTGAGCTCAAAAGATAGCAACTTCAAAAAACATGTTTGGATCTAGAAAGGGATGAACTTTTTTCTATGGTGTTATTGTAATTGGTTACATTCAAATTTTTAAAGTACATTTAAGTAATAACTACAGAGATTTGAGACATTTAGTATACTTCAGAATATTCACAAAATAAAAAGGTCAACATTATAAATTATTAGTAGGCTGCTTTTCTATTAGTCTTTTGATCATATCATCAATGAAATTCTTTTAAAAAATCCTTTAATAAAAAGCATTTATAGAAATAAGTAAAACTGAAAATAATGTAATTCAGGAAATGTAATTATTCATTTAGAATGACTAGACAACTGATACTATACAACTAAAACAAAGTCTATCTTTGTCACACACTGGAATATGATTTTAATATAAACATGTTCTTAAGGTACTAACTCATTTTAAAAGTTGCTTTTTCATAATCATTCCTTTATAATATCTATCTGTAATACTGAGGCTAAAGATGAAATTGAGATATGAGTATCAATAAATAAGATGAATAAAATTTAAATCAATTTTTTATGACCTAGTCATGCTACTTATTTTTAGCCTTTTACAATTATGTAGGTTTATTCCTTTTCTGGTTACAAGTATCACATAGACATTACACATACACACACACAAAAGCAAAATAATAATAATAACAAAAAAACTTTCTAACCATCAATAGATGAGTGCAATGATATTCAGTCTGAGTTAATCTCCAGACATCCAAATTCATGAATAAAAATTCATCAGTTTTAAATACACTGAGCCTATTAAGCAAGAACAAAAGCATATGCACAAAAGAGCTTTTAATATATTTCAAAGCCCACAAGAGCCATGGTCTCATTAAAATTATAAATTACACAAACATGGAATGAAGATTCAAACTGCAGTGCAGCTAAGCAGATTACAGAAAACCCCGCGTTCCATATGATAACACACCATGGCCCTCCCAGATGGGGGCTTGGAACAAAAAGGCCATCACCACAGCTAGGGAAAACCTCCTTGTGATCTCTGGTTTCTGTTCAGCAGATGACAGCCAAATAATATGTTGATTATTCTGTTTGTGCTGCTAAGCTTGTAAGATGGAATAAAGCGATATGATCTATTGTGAACCCAATGCTAATGTGTTGCTCCACTCATAAATAATATACTGAATTTATTTTCAAACTATCTCTTATCTGAATTTCAGTTTTTAAATGCATGAATTAAAATAAAAGCCAGGATAAAATAATACTTAATTTGATGCTTTAAACTAAAAAATGCAATTGGCAAGTGAAAAATATCTAAATGCTTAGTGAAGAGTTATTACAATCACCTTTCTTTAATTTCAGCACTGTAACGGGAGACAAAAAAACACTTTTAAATAGGCAATTACTTTCATTAGGAAATATAAATATAAAATTAAGTAATATAATAATCATGAAGTTAATAATATACATTATGGACAAGATAAAAACTAAAATATCAGGGCATGAAAAAACACTTTTCTACAACATCATAGCCCATAATCAGAACATATAGTGAATGCATTTTTGAACAATAAAAAGAATAACTGAAGACCTCATAAATGTTCATAACTTGCACAAGAAATCTTACTTAAAATTTAAAAGAAGTTTATAAAAATAATTTTCAAATAGCTAGCATTTTATTTTGATTTGGTGACAAAAGTTAAAACCTAATTTTTCCCTCAATTTAAAAAAAAAGGTATATTTAAAATCCTAAGCTTTAAAGATGATGCCCAATGAAGTAACAGGGATTGTGTCTGTGAATACAAAATTGTGTATTTCATGAATAAACTTATTTATGAATACTATTGCTTAAAATATTAAAAATCATAACATTTATCTCTTCATCCCCAAATTCCTCCCTTAATACTCTAGTAGACTCTCCTTAAAGGCAAACTAACAAACAACTAAAGTAGTACATTAAAACTGCACATAAGGTGAACATGAATAAACACACTGTTTTCTTAAGGGAGTATTTTATAGAAAGTACATAATTACGGTCATCGGCCTAAGTCCACCTCATTTTTTCTGTCTCCAGATACAAACTGAGTCCAAAAGCACTGCAAAACTCCATAATATGTAAATACAGACTGAAATTTTAAATCTAAAGGTAAAGCAAAAATGCTTTTGAAGAAAAACTAAGAAGATAAAACATTCTTGAAGTAGATAAATATTTCTTAAACAAGAATTAAAAAGCACTAAACATAAATGATGAACTAGACTACTTTAAAGACTTAAACTTCTGTTCATTAAAAGCACTATTAAGAGAGTAAAAAGACAAACCTCATAGAAGAAGAAATAGTTGCAATACCCATCATCAATGAAGAACTCATATTTTGAATATATAAAGAACTCCCACAAATCAAAGGAAATGACAGGCTAACAGAAAAGTGGGCCAAAGAAGTGAACCGGAACTTCACAGAAGAAAATAACCAAACAGCCAATATACATATGAAAAAGTACTCAACTTCATTAATTGGGGAAATATAAAGTAAAATCATTACGGTACACTACTTTGTACCCACCAGAATTGGAAAAATGAAAAAGATGGGGGGAAAAAAACGAGTGTTGGAAACATGTGGAGCAACTAGAACTCTCTCGCATACTATAAATATAGCCTGATACAAACATTTTAGAAAACTGTTTGCCATTGTTGCTTAAAGCTGAACATATATATGTTGCTGACCAGTAATTTTGCTCCCAGATATATCACCAAAAGAAATGTGTAGATACATAACTCAAGAAATACATATTAGAATGTTCATAATAGCATTATATAGAAACTACGCAAATGTCCACTAACAGTAGAATGGATAAATAATAGTTATATATTCACAACTACATGCAGCAATAAAAACAAACTACAACTATATAGATAAATCTTAAGACACTATGTTGAACAAAGGAAATCAGACACACAAAAAATGATACTGTATAATTTTCTATATATAATACAAAAACAAGAAAAATGAATCTGCTATTAAAATTCAAGGCAGTGATTATCCTTGTTGGGGGAGGGGGCACAGTGACTGGAAGGGTGCATGAAGGTGTCTTCTGGAGTGCTGACAATGTTCTTTTACTTTATCTGGGTGCTGGTTATATGGGTGTATTTGGTTTGCAAAAAAATCATTAGGCTATCCACTCACAAAGTGTGCACTTTCCTGTATGTGTAGCTTTCTTTAAAGAAGGCACTTTTACATAAAAATACACAGATGTATAAAGATAGTCTAAATCCTTGTCATAAGAAATTTAGGAACTGACATGTATATAATCCAAGGGAGAAAACTGAGGGTTGTTACCGTATCTATTTGAATAACCAAATTTTCAACTACTTAGTTAACTTCCTGGATGCTTATAAATGGAAGACATTTATAACATTCACCCTATTATCTTCCCTTGATCCCAATCATGTATTCAGAGATATCCAGTCTTCGTGTTGGAAGTAACTGATACTGCTATTATAACACAGCTTTTAAAATAGTCTCCGGACTGAAGATTTGCCTTTATATGTGGGAAACTAAAGTGGTACAGAATGCAGTATACAGAATATATGATTGCCGTTTTCACTCTTCCTCCCAAATTTCATAAGCGTTAGTTTGTTAATCATGAATGTGTATTACTTAATTTAATAGCATTCCTTGAAAACTATCATTTTTTCAATGAAATTAAAATATAATTTACTCTTTAATAACAATACCATACACATTAAATAAAGCTTCATGATAATCTGATAATAAACTATACATCTCATATCTCCCAATTAAATATTTCCCTTGTTTCCATACTAGAATCAATATGATTTATAATACTTTTTTTCTTATATTGAAAAGATGCTTTAAGAGATAAGCTAGGAAAGATCATCCAAAGATTATTATAGTTTGTTTAATTTGTATAACAAATATTTATTTATTCACTGCTTACTATCTGTCAGGCTCTAGGGAAAATAGAATAAAAATAGCTAATTTTACAGTAAATATAGCAGGCTTACCCCTTTCACTCTCATTTGATTTACAAATAAAACTATTTTCAACTACTAACATATTAACATATTCAAAAGTTAAAACTAATCTAAAAGATATATACAGTAAAAGTCCCATCTTCCCTGTTTTCTTCTTCATCCCCACAAAGACTTAGATGTTGTATAAACTTCCAGATTTTGTTATGTAAATATAAGCAAATATGAATATATGGTTTTATTCCCCTCCCAATTTACACAAAAAGTACCTTACTGTACATTGTTTTGAATTCTGCTTTTTCCAAATAACAATGGTATGTGAAAAACTTTCCAAATGTTCATATAGAAAAAAAAATCCACTTTTTTTAACAGCTGTAGAGTATTTCATTGTGTAGTTGTCATAGTTCATTTAACGAACACGTTGCCTATAGACACTAAGGAATTTCCAATCTTTTGCTACCACACACAAAGCTACAATGAAAACTCCTATACATATGTTATTTTGTAAGTACACACAAGAATTTCTGTAATAAATTCCCAAAATTGGTACTGAGATGAGGTAAATGCATTGGTCTTTTTCTAGAAATTGCCAATTTGCATTCCACAGGAGTTGCATCATTTTGCACTTCCACAACCTATGCATCTCTGATTTATCCTGAAAAAAAGCTATTCCTCTCTCCGGGCCTCTAAAATACTTTGTTTATAAGGCAATTTCCAACGATGTGCTCACTGCAATAAACTACATAAAGCTCTTGGCTTATTTTTTTCCCAGATGCAAATGTAAAATTTGTTGACTTAGAAAGGTTAAAAGCAAATAAATTTTCAAATTAAAAAACAAACCTCATATAAACTCAGTAAATCAGCATATTAATGCCTAAATGTGCTGGGATAGCAACTGTTTGTCTTTCTAATATCTCCTGTGCTCCAAAAACAAATATACTCCCTATTCCAGTTTTTTAAAAAATTCACATTCAATAGTTTATAAATGGATACGAAGTCAAATGCATTTCACTTCTAAATGAATGTTTTCCTAAACCACTTAAATGTTTTCATGAAGTCAAATCTGTGTTACTTCTATATTTTTTAAAGCCGTAATTTCAAAGGTGATTTAACCTTTGTAACTGCCATTTTTAACAGGTAGTATCATCTAATGTATTATTTTTATTTCAATGTCTATCCTATCAAATATTTAATAATTAGAAAACAAACACCAAGTCCACTGGACTTCCTATTTGAAGTCATACTTAAGTAAATCACTTTCAATAATCCTACAACTGTTTAGCTGGAAAACATGTAAATGATCATATTTATTCCCCAAATAAGGATACGCAACCTATGTTGCATATATATTAGACAGAAATCAGTCGGTCAGACAGAAATCGGTCTGAGGTTATCTCAATATCCTGTAAAAACAAAGTGGCTAGACTAGTTGCTGATACCAAAATGAATTTTAAAATGCTAGCACACATTCTCTACTCTTATAGTCAGCAGATGTGACAGAACCATACTTAAGCTCTCACCTAAGTAATACATAATGTTAGGCAAATGCGTTGATTTTAAATATGAGTCAAACGGAAGGCACTGACAACAAAAAGCAAGAATTACCTAACAAATGTAAAAGAAAACAAAACAAATGAGAAAACACATCACAGTAGCTCTGAGGACAAAAAAGCTTATCAGGCTAGGATAATTTAGAAGAAAACAGTCCAACACAGCATAGAATTCCGAGGAAATCACTTTAATTCTGTAAAATGACTGATGTTCACAGTAACAACTCAGAGCCATTATAAAAAAACTTAAAATGTATTCTGTTTAAGAGAACAAAGACACACGTTTTTCTGATGAAGTACTCAAAGTAAAACTTCTCGGTTAAAATCAGAATATACAGTGGTTGCCCTTTAGAAGATGAACTGTGATAAAGTGCAATAACTATGGGGGCTTTAGATGTGAAACTTTTTTTTCCCTTTTTTTTTTTGTAATGACCTCTCCTTACGATAGACATGCAACTTTCTATGCTAAGCCAGTTGTTAGTTAATAGCCGAAGGAATATCTGATTTTTTCTGCAAGCTATTTAGGCATATTTTCACTTAAATGACTGGAACACTCAAGAAAATGTCCTGATTTCATTTTACTTTAAGTTGTAACTGCCAAAGTAGATAGGTTAGTCTGGCTTCTAGCTCCAATTTGCTAAATGGCCTTGTTCAAGTGACTCAATCTCTCTAGTCCTTAGTTTCTTCATCAGTAAAGTGAAGGAGTTATAGAAGGCATGATATGTTACTAAATAGAATAAGTGTGCTAACAAAGTGAAACAGAGTTACTGCATTAGGTCCTGTATCTACATCAATACTATAACTAGATCTATTTATATGTACTCTATATTTAAACTATCTCAAACTATATGTCACTTTACTATATATGTAAGGCCTACAATAAAAGAAATGATAATCATTTTAGAATGTTCCCCAACATTTAATATTGTTACTGTCAGGATATAAACAAATGTACACATGATATGTAACCAGGATATTTTTTAAAACACATTCTCAGCAATGTCATCAAATACTAGAAACAACTCAATGATCTACCAACAGCAGAATGGATGAATAAATTCTGGCACATTTAATTCAAAGGGATAATACATAATAACAAAAATGAATGAAATAAAACTACACATAACTACATGGATAACTCTTCAAAACATAATGCTGAGCAAAGGAAGAAAGAATACACGATTCATAAAGATTAAAATGAGGCGAAAAAAGTAAACATACTGCTTAGGAATACACGTAAAGTGACAAAGTTATATTAAAAATTGTATAAATAATTACCATTAAAGTCATGATACTGGTTACCTCTAAAGAAAAGAAAGCATATCAAGAGTTTCTGGGATGCCAGTAATACTCTAAGGTTACAAAGATGTATGCTAAATATTTAATTTATAATTATTCATTGTATTATATATTTATGTTCCTGTATCACTATATTTTACAACAAAAAGTTATAATTATATACTTTCTAAAATAATACTAATATATTTTTATAAAAAGGAAGGATTCCTTTCTGCTATCAACAATTTCCTTGATCTACATTTCTAATTTTTAATGCAATATTTTAATAAGGAAGAAATAAGTTACTATGCCTAATTCTCCACAATCCTAATTAAAAGTAGATTTCAGCCTTTAAATAATATAAGATCAGTTATCCTGCTAGATCTTGGCTTAGCAGCTCCATGTTGTTTCTGTCTGTCAGTCTTCTTTTCAAGAAAATGCATGCTCATTAATTCCAAATGATATTCAGGTAATAATTTGAGGCATGCTGCATTTCAAAAAATACAATAGCTTAGCCCTAAGGTAGGAAGAAACACACTTCTGACTTTCACACATTTTAAAATAATTTTGGGAGCACTTGTCTATGCATACAACATGAAGGTCCATGATAGGCAAGTCACAGACACTACAGATGAAATCCACACTGTGAGTACTAGAAAACATGATAGCTGGATTATAGCATAGTTATACAATGTCTAATGTAAATTATACTGGGGCAGTTTTAGATATTTTCTTTGGAAAAACAAAAGTACAGGGAATGGAAATTATTACAGAACATTTAACAGTAAACTAACTTACATTACAAAAAAACCCTACACAATTTACAAAATCCTCAAAGGTTCACCACCTAGAAGCATCCTTCAGTGTGTACAGTTATTCCAACTTTTAGATGCTGCTCAACAGGAAGCAGACAATGAAATTTTGAAACAAGACTATCAGTACTTTCATCAGGCTCCAGGTACCAACATGATGGCAATGATATAGCACCTTTATAATAGTTGCTTTTGTTGCATACTATTGGTTTTTGTGAATGTAGCCAAAGATTCCCCTCCTTAGTGGGTCCAACTAACCAGTTATTTGCCCATCTATTAAGTGCCAACTTTACAAAATTACATTGTGTCCAGCAGGGAGCAGCATTACAACAGTCATAAGAGTTAAGTTGAACATGAAACCGACAGAAGAAAAAGGAGGAAAAAGCCCACTTACCATAGGTCTGTTCTACAATTCATTCAATTTTTAGGGAAGTTGCAGGGCTTCCAGAAAAAAAAAAAATAAAGCATGTCTTAAAGCATAGGTGGGTGATCCACAATTTCAGGAATCCTAAAGCAGGAAATCAAAATTACATTAGTTGAAGGCTATTTTCAACCATATTGAGTTGAATTAGTAGTCTATACTATGACTGAATGACAGTTGTAACGGTGCGTCTTCCTCTTAATGGGTCCATGAGATCTTGAATTCAGGAATTTTATGACGCTTTGGAAAAAATGACTTAAAAAAACAGACAATATTAAAGTCCTTTATCCATCAGAGAATTCAGGTCAGAGAAGAAAGTAATAGCTAATAGATTATATGAGATCAACCTAGAAAGAACTATGTTCCAAGAGTTAAATGAGTTGACAGGGCAACCATCAACAGTTCATTAAACTGTTCTAGACTGAGACATAGAAAGGATACAAACATTAACTTCTGCAGGTCAGCATGAATACCTGAGGTTAATTTTAAGAATAAAAAAGCGGTAGAAAAGCAGAATACAATACTAGTGATATAAGACTAAATTAGATATGTACTGAATATAAGGAATGTGTGTGATACTGTAAAAAAAACCTTGTGACCAGTTATAATATGACAAAGGCAAAGCAATACGTTTGACACTGACTTGAATGTCAAAACCTGCCTCATAGTCAATTATAATAATTCTATCTCAGTTCTTATGATTAAGAAAATAAGTTTTATTTTTTATTTTTTATATATATTTATTTATTTATTAATTTTTGAGGCGGAGTCTCGCTCTGTTGCCCAGGCTGGAGTGCAGTGGTGCAATCTCGGCTCACTGCAAGCTCCACCTCCCGGGTTCACGCCATTCTCCCGCCTCAGCCTCCCGAGTAGCTGGGACTACAGGTACCCGCCACCATGCCCAGCTAATTTTTTTGTATTTTTAGTAGAGACGGGGTTTCACCGTGTTAGCCAGGATGCTCTTGATTTCCTGACCTTGTGATCCGCCTGCCTCAGCCTCCCAAAGTGCTGGGATTACAGGCATGAGTCACCGCACCCGGCCAAAAAGTTTTATTTTTATTTGAAATGTTAAAGTTTGCTTTGTGTGAGTTTGCGTGTGACTTTTCAGTGTCTGCCACAAAAAACAAACTTTTGCCTTTAAAACAATATATGCATATTCACTTTTAAATATGCATAATTGCATATATCTATATAATATACAATATCACATATCAATGTTATTAATACATAACATTTACTTGAAATTTAATACGTAAAATGATTCCTATTTTCTGACAAAATGACACAAGCAGTTTAACTTTGGCGAATGATATAAAGAATACGGTTTCACTCTAATAATTACCATCAATTTGACTGAAGCTGAGAGAAACTCTGATATATTAATCTTCTACCCTTTAGCAGTAAACCATTAGTTGCATTACTTATCATCTTTTGCTCTCCTTAGTCTTCTTATCTTATCTCTTGCCTTTGCTTTTACACATTTCACTTTTCTGATAATTCTTCATTTCTGCCAATCTCTCTTCCTCCTCTTTTGTAATGCATTTCTGTATCAATTCAAATTTTTAATTCAATCTTCTCTCTTTATGACACTACCACTTTTTTTTTCTTTTAACCTGGTACCTTTAAAAATGAGTTTTCTCCTGTAACAATAGTCTGTTTAAATATATCGTTTCATCCACTTACAAGCACCATGTTTGATCTCAAAAATCTTAACAATCTCACATAATTGGAAGACACATCTAAATATACTTAAATTGTATTTGTTATTCATAAAAAATTCTCCTGAGTTATTTAAGAACTTGCTAAATGTTTTTAAATTCGATCTTGAAACACGCAAAAATTTCGAGGAAATCTAATCTCACATCTAATCTCTAATCATTCCAAAAAACTAGAGACAACCACTATTCTAATAAAGAGGTAATTTAGGATCTTACTACATTGATGTGAGTAAATATTGAGTAACCAACTTCTCTAAATCAACAGAACTTTAGCGCTATTTATTCACATATGTGTGTGTATGTAATGTGCACTATCCACATTAAAAAGCAAAGGTTCATGCCTGTAATCCCAGCACTTTGGGAGGCCAAGGTGGGTGGATCACGAGGTCAAGAGATCGAGACCATCCCGGCCAACATGGTGAAAACGCGCCTCTGCTAAGAATACAAAAATTAGCCGGGCATCGTGGCGCGCGCCTGTAATCCCAGCTACTCGAGAAGCTGAGGTAGGAGAATCACTTGAACCCAGGAGGCAGAGGTTGCAGTGAGCTGAGATAGCATCATTGCACTCCAGCCTGGTGACAAAGCGAGACTCCATCTAAAAAAAAAAAAAAAGCAGTTCATTAAATAACCCCCTACTTCTATATATATTATAAAGTCTGAGAAGAAAAGTGATTTTCCTGTTCAGCACTCTCTAATATAAACATTAAAGGTATTAGTACGTTGTAACATAATGTCATAATAATTATTCACAAGCCTTGAAATTTTTTAAAATTTGTATATAGATTATACAACACCATTTATAATATAATTACCTAAAAAGAGACTATAGTGAGTTGAGAAATGGTCCCCCTTCCTGCCTCCCCTACCCAAATTCATGTTCATCTGGAACCTCAGAACATGACCTTATTTGGAAAAAGGGTCTTTGCAGATGTAATTAAGGTAAGGACCAATGTGAGATCATAGTAGATTACAAAGGGTCCTAAATCCAACGGGAACGTCCTCATTAGAGACAGAAAAGGACACAGGAAGACACAGAGAAAAGAACAATGTGAAAATGAAGTCAGCCTGGAGTTACACTGTCTCAGGGCAAGGAATAACATGACACCATAAGCTGCAGAAGCAAAGAAGGATGCCCCCCTAGAGTTTTCATAATAAACATAGCTGACAACTTGACTTCGTATTTTTGACCTCCAAAATTGTTAGAAAATTGATCTCTGTGTGTTAAGTCACCAAGTTTTTGTTCATTTGTTATGGTAATTTTAGAGAACTAACATAGATTTTCATACCAAAAACTGGAGTGTTGCTGTGATACCTAAAAATAGAAAAACAGAAAAAGCCTAGGTTGCCTTGAAGAAATTTTTGGTAGAAAAAGAAATCTTAAGAGAACTCTGCTAATGGCTCAGAAGGAAGAGAAGAGGTAAAGAAAGCTATCACCTTAAAGAATACATACATTATCATGAACAGAATGTTGACAGAAATAGGAACATTAAAAAGGTTTCTGATGAACTCTCAAGAAGGAAATGAAGAACATGGTATTGGAAAGTAAAGAAATAGCAGTCCTTGTTGTAAAGTGGCAGAAAACTTGGCTGAAATGGGTTCTACTATGTGGCAAAACGTAGAACTTGGTAAGCAATTAACTTGAATATGTAGCTGAGGAGATTTCCAAGCAAAGTGTTAAAGGCGTAGACTGTTTTCTCCGGGCTGCTTACAGTAAAATGTGAGAGAAGAGATAAATTGAGGAAGAAATTGTTAAGCAAAGAAAAACCTATGATTTGGAGATTTCTTAACCTATCTAAATTGTAAAAGATGCTAAAACATGCTCTGGAGAAGGGCCAAGGATGTGGCTGAAAAACCTTTTCTGAAGAGATTAGGTATGTGACTAATGGGTCCAAATCAACCTTTTCAGCAGAAGCTAGAAACAGAGATGAGATTATCCAGGAAAGATCTTTGAAGAATTCTCTTATGATGGCAGAGATCCTCTAGACATACATGGGAGACCCACACATTTTAAAATATTCAGTAAACCATGCTATAAACACATGTGCTGTCACCCAGGCTTTGTTGTTCTGTCTATAAAGAACAGGCAGAGTAGCTTTAGTATAATTCCTAAGGGCCTTGGGATTTTCATAATGGTAAATGAGCACTGGCTTCAACTTAAAGACACCAGTTGCCATTATCCCCTTAGGAGAGTGAGCCTGTCCTGAGAAGCATCAAAGCCAGGCATTGACTTCTCTCCAGCTATGAAAAGTCCTAGATAGCATCTTCTTCCAACAGAAGGCTGTTTAATCTACATTGAAAATTTGTCACTTCATGTACCCACCTATATCAACTATCTTTGCTAGATAGAGGTAACTTGCTGCAGCTTGCCATACACTTTTATGTTATGGCTTCTCTCCTTAAACCTCATTAATACAACCTCTGCTATCTTTCAAATGTTCTTCTGCAGCTTCCTCACCTCTCTCAGCCTTCATAGAATTGAAAAAAACAGGATCTTACTCTGGATTAGACTTTGACTTGAAGGAACATTGTGGCTGGTTTGATCTATCCAGACAACTAAAACTTTCTCCATATGAGTAATAAGGTCATTTCTCTTTCTTAACATTCATGAGTTTATGAACTTTTCCCATTGCATTCACAGCTTAACTGTTTGGCAAGAGGCCTACCTCTTGGCCTGTCTCAGCTTTCAACAAGCCTTCCTTGGTAAGCTTAATCATTTCTAGCTTTTGATTTAAAGTGACAAATATGCCATGCTTTCTTTCACTTGAACACTTAAAGACCACTTTAAAGACCACTGTATGGTTAATTTTCCTAATTTCAATATTGTTATGTCTCAGTGACACAATGAAGTGAATAGGGAGTGAATAGGGAGGCCAGCGAAGGAGAGCTGGGGGGACAGCTGGTTGATAGAACAGTTAGCACACATACATTTACTGATTAAGTTAACATTCTTACATGGGCACGGTTTCTGGTGCCTCAAAACAATTACAATAGCAACACCAAAGATCCTGATCACAGATAACCATCACAGATATAATAATGATAAGAAGGTTTGAAATATTGCAAGAATTACCAAAATGTGACACAGGGACACAAAGTGAGCATGTACTGTTGGAAAAATGGCACCAATAGACTTGCTAATTGCAGGGTTGTCACAAATCTTCAAGTTGTAAAAAATGCAGTTCTTCAAAGCTCGATACAGGGAAGCACAAATAAGATGATGCATGCCTGTAGTTTTTCTACAAAAAATGTTAAGGGACCCTGAAAAGCCAAAACAACTGTATTACTCCATTTTCATGCTGCTATAAAGAACTGCCCAAGACTGGGTAATTTATAAAGAACAGAGGTTTATTTGACTCACAGTTTTGCAGGGCTGGGGAGGCCTCAGGAAACTTACAATCATGGTGGAAGGAGAAGCAAACACATCCTTCTTCACATGGTGGCGGGAAGGAGAAGTGCCAAGCAAAGAGGGGAAAGCCCCTTATGAAACCATCAGATCTCAGGAGAACTCACTCACTATCACTAGAACAGTATGGGGGTAACCCACCCCCGCCATGATTCAGTTACCTCCTACCAGTTCCCTTGCACAGTATGTGGGGATTATGGAAACTGTAATTCAAGATGACATTTGGGTGGGGGCGTAATCAAACCATATCATTCCACCCCAGCCCCGCCCAAATTTCATGTCCTCACATTTCAAAACACAATCATGCCTTTCCAACAGTTCCCTAAAATCTTAGCTCATTCCAGAATTAACCCAAAAGTCCAAGTCCAAAGTCTCATCTGAGACAAGGCAAATCCTTTCCACCTATGAGCCTACAAAATCAAAAGTAAGTTAGTTACTTCCTAGATACAACAAGGGTACAAGCGTTGGGTAACTACACCCATTCCAAATGGTAGAAATTGGCCAAAACAAAGGGGCTGTGGGCCCCATACAAGTCCAAAATCCAATAGAGAAGTCTTCAAACCTTAATGTTCCAAAATGATCTCCTTTGACTCCATGTCTCATATCCAGGTCACACTGATGCAAGAGGTGGGCACCCATGGCCTTGGGCAACTCCGCCTCTACGGCTTTGCAGGGTACAGCTCCCCTCCTGGCTGCTTTCATGGGCTGGCTTTGAGTGTCTGCAGCTTTTCCAGGTGCACGGTGCAAGCTGTCAGTGGATCTACCATTCCGGGGTCTGGAGGACCATGGCCCTCTTCTCACAGCTCCACCAGGCCATGCCCCAGTGGGGACTCTGTGTGGGGGCTTCAACTCCACATTTCCCTTCCTCATTGCTCTAGCAGAGGTTCTCCACAAGTGCTCCACCCCTGCAGCAGACTTCTGCCTGGTCATCCAGGCATTTCCATATATCCTCTGAAATCTAGGAGGAGGTTCCCACACCTCAATTACTGACTTACGTGCACCCACAGGCCCAACACCACATGGAAGTCACCAAGGCTTGGGGCTTGCACCCTCTGAAGCAATGGCCCAAGCCGTACTTTTGACCCTTTAAGCCATGGCTGGAGCTGACACAGCTGGGATGCAGGACACCATGCCCCAGGACTGCACAGAACAGGGGCAACCCTGGGCCCTGCCCAGGAAACCATTTTTCCCTTCTAGAGGCCTGTGATGAAAGGGCTGCCGTGACATGTCCTAGAGGCATTTTCCCCATTGTCTTGGTGATTAACACTGGGCTCCTTGTTACTCATGCAAATTTCTGTAGCTGTCTTGAATTTCTCCCCAGAAAATGGGTTTTTCTTTTATATCACATAGTCAGGCTGCAAATTTTCCAAACTTTTTTTTTTTTGAAAAGTAGTCTCACTCTGTCACCCAGGCTGGAGAGCAGTGGTGTGATCTAGGCTCACTGCAAGCTCCACCTCCCGGATTTACTTACGCCATTCTCCTGCCTAAGCCTCCCAAGTAGCTGGGACTACAGGTGCCCGCCACCACGCCCAGCTAATTTTTTGTATTTTTAGTAGAAACAGGTTTCACTGTGTTAGCCAGGATGGTCTCAATCTCCTGACCTCGTGATCCGCCCACCTTGGCCTCCCAAAGTGCTGGGATTACAGGCGTGAGCCACCGCGACCAGCCCAAATTTTCCAAACTTTTATGCTCTGTTTCCTCTTGAATACTTCACTGCTTAGAAATTTCTTCCACCAGATACCCTAAATCATTTCTTTCAAGTTCAAAGTTCCACGGATCTCCAGGGCAGTGGCAAAATGCCACCAGTCTCTTTGCTAAAGCATAGCAGAGTTACCTTTGCTCCAGTTCCTAGTAAGTTGCTCATCTCCATCTGAGACCACCTCAGCCTGGACTTCATTGTCCATATCACTATCAGCATTTTGGTCAAAGCCATTCAACAAGTCTCCAAGAAGTTCCAAACTTTCCCACATCTTCGTGTCTTCTGAGCCTTCCAAGTCTCTAGGAAGTTCCAAACTTTCCTACATTTTCCTGTCTTCTTCTGAGCCCTCCAAACTGTTCCAACCTCTGCCTGTTACCCTGTTCCAAAGTCAATTCCACATTTTCAGGTATCCTTATAGCAGTGCCCCTCTCCCTCAGTACCAATTTACTGTATTAGTCCATTCTCATGCTAGCCTCAGGCATGCACAAAGAACTGCCTGAGACTGGATAATTTATAAAGAAAAGAGGTTTAGTTGACTCACAGTTCTGCAGGGCTGGGAAGGCCTCGGGAAACTTACACTCATGGCGAAAGGACTTACACGCTGATTTCAAATGTTGATATTATTATTTTAAGCCCTGAGTCAAAATTTAGTACAAAGTTATAGTAAGCAAAAACGTGGTACTGGCATAATGACAGATCTATAGACCAATGGAATAGAATAAAGAGCACAGAAATAGCATTGACATAAATGGTCAAATGATTTTTGACAAGGGTGCCAAGACCATTCAATGGGGAAAAGGCAGTCTTTTCAACACATGGTATTGAGAAAACTAGATATCAACATAAAAAAGAATGAAGTTGGACTTTTGTCTTACACCATATAAAATTAACTCAAAATAGATCAAAAACCTAAATGGAAGAGCTAAAACTACACAACTCTTGATTGGCCATGATTCATTGAATATGGCAACAAAAACAAAGGTCACAAAAGAAATAAAAATATATAAACTAGACTTTCTCAAATTAAAAACTTTTGAGCAACAAAAAATACTATCACAAGGAGAAAGTATTTGCATATCATACATCTAATTAAGGGTCACGGTCCAGAATATATAAAGAACTCCTATAACTCAAAAACCCGCAAAAAAAAAAAAAACAAAGCCATTACTCAATTCAAAACCGGCAAAGGTTTTCAAAAGACATCTCTCCAGACAAGGTATACAAATGGCCAATAAGCACATGAAAAGATGTTAAACATCCCTAGTCATTAGGGAAATGCATATCAAAACCACAATAAGATATCACATCATATGCATTAGGATGACTATTATCAAAAAAACAGAAAATAACAAATGTTGCTAAGGATGTGGTGAAATTGTAACCCTTCCGCACTCCTGGTGGGAATGCAAAATGGTACAGCCAATGTGGAAAACAGTTTGGTGATACCTTAAAAAGTTAATCATAGAATTTTCATATAATCCAGCAATTCCATTGTATGGTATATACCCAAAGGAAATGAAAACAGAGATTCAAACAGATACTTCTATGCCAATGTTCACTGTAGCACTATTTACAATAGCCAAAGGTAGAAACAACCCAAGAGTCTATCAACAGATGAATGGATAAACAAACTGTGATATATGTGTGTGTGTGTGTGTGTGTATATTATAAATATGTTATCTTATATATATGTTATAACTTTTTAAAATTTTATTATTATTATACTTTAAATTTTAGGGTACATCCTAATGCTAAATGATGTTAATATGTTATAATTTACATATGTAATCTGATATAGGATAATCATATATTATAATAGATAATCCTATATATAACATATATTATACATTATATAATCTATAATTTTATATATCTAAGAGTATATTATATAATCTTATATATATCTGATATATATGATCTTATATCATATATAATACAATCTTATATATTATATACAATGATATATCATCTATTACGTATATCATATATATCATCTATTATATATGATAATCTTATATCATATACTATAATCTTATATAAGATTGCACATGTTACATATATGTATTACATATTATATATATATACACACACAGATGGTCCCTGACTTAGCAATGGTTTCACTTATGATTTTCAACCTTATAATGGGTTTATCAGGGTATTAAATACATTTTCAACTTATGGTATTTTCAACTTAAATTGGGTTTATCAGGACATAACTCCATCATAAGTCAAAGAGCATCTGCAATAGATTATTCAGCCATAAAAAAATGAAGTTTTAATATATGATACAAAATACATGAACTTTGAAAAACATTATGCTAAGTGAAAAATATTATGCAAATATTAACAAGAATATAGTATGATTCCACTTATATGAGGTGCTTATAATAAGTTGGCAAATTCACTGAGAGTAGAATACAGGTTATTAGTGGTTGAAACAAGAGAGAATAACAAGTTACTGCTTCTTGGGTACAATATTTCTTTTCTTTTTTTTTTTTTTTTTTTGAGATGGGAGTCTCGCTCTGTCGCCAGACTGGAGTGCAGTGGTGCGATCTCCGCTCACCGCAACCTCCGCCTCCTGGGTTCAAGCAATTCTCCTGCCTCAGCCTCCCAAGTAGCTGGGACTAGAGGCACGCGCTACCACGCCCAGCTAATTTTTCTATTTTTAGTAGAGACGGGGTTTCAGCATGTTAGCCAGTATGGTCTCGATCTCTTGACCTCGTGATCCGCCTGCCAAAGTGTTGGGATTACAGGCGTGAGCCACTGCACCCGGCGGGGTACAATATTTCTTCTTGAATGATGAAAAAGTTTTAGAAATAGTGGCAATGATTACACAACATTGTAAGTACTCTTAATGTGACTTCACTTATACTTAAAAATGATGAAAGTAGTGAATTTTATGTTACGTATATTTTTATCACACATACACAAATTTTTTTAAAGGGCTCAAAACCTTGAGCCAGTTCAGAGGGCAGACACAAATACTTCAGTTAGAAAATCAAAACTGGGCTACTGATAAGTAGTAAAGTGAACATATTCCAATGCTCAGTGAGAGAAAAACGATCGTCATGTATGATGATAATCTATTAATTTTCATGTGAGTTGATTTAGGAAATGTTAATAGAAAAAACATAATTTGCTTTATATTCTTAAAAAATCCAACCTTAGAATACCAAATGGACTATAAAATTATTTTCAAATCTTTAATTTTGACTAATGGAAAAATTGTAATACCAAATGACCTTTAATGTTATTCTTTGAACCTTTCACTTTGGGAAATAAAAAATATAATAAGCAGAACTATAAAATTAAAATTCTAAAGGTTTTAAGAAGGAAATATTTTTAAATTACAAAGGATTCTGTTTCACCACTGGACAACACTGTTATAAAGTTCTTTAATCTGGGTTGAAACTGAAATTTCTATGCCCTGGAGAAACAAAGAGGTCTAATTTTTTTTTGACAGGATTAAAACAAGTCTTATGAAACTCAAAATCTTTCACCTCCCAGCTACCTATATTCCAGTTACTACCTCAATTGCTTTCCCATCACTTTTTCTCACCATATTAATCACTCTGAATATATACCTATTTTAGCAGAGCAAATATGCTTCATGTTTTATGCTAATATCCATAAACTGGCTACATAAAAAGCTACCCTGAGGAGGAAACTAAGCCTGTATTTGGACTGAAGTGGAAAATAGTGGATAAGAGTATGAATTCTGTAGTCAGACAGGCTAGCTCTATTGTGAATCCTAGATCTTCCACTTACGAGCTTTCTGACCTAGATAGAACAAGTTACTTATCCTTTATGTGACTCCATTAACTTCTGAACACACTCATCTATAAAATGTGTGAGGATTAAATAATATATAAAGCATTCACAACATTACAGGGACTACAATAGGCATTCAACAAAAACATTACTTAATATAATTAATCACCAATACATCCATGGAGAGAGGAGTGGAGATACTGAAGAAGATACTAAAGAAGATACTTTACATTTCAGTTTTACCATGTGTCTTTTGATTCAAATATCATGCCTAAATGGGATTCTGGTTCAAAACTGCAGATAAATTTACTGCTACTCTCTTCAAAAACTACACGGAGGGCCGGGCGAGGTGGCTTACACTGTAATCCCAGCACTTTGGAAGGCCAAGGTGCACGGATCACGAGGTCAGGAGATCAAGACCATCCTGGCTAAAATGGTGAAACCCGGTCTCTACTAAAAATACAAAAAAATTAGCTGGGCGTGGTGGCGGGCACCTGTAGTCCCAGCTACTCAAGAGGCTGAGGCAGGAAAATGGCGTGAACCCGGGACGCGGAGCTTGCAGTGAGCTGAGATCACGTCATTGCACTCCAGCCTGGGCGACAGAGTGAGACTCCGTATCAAAAAACAAAACAAAACAAAACAAAACAAAAAACACTACACTGAAACGACAGTACGTTTTAAAAAATAAATAGAAATAAATGCTGAGAAAAGGAGTGAAAGGCACACTAGAGATTTTGAAGAATTTCTGGAAGACCAGGCATATAAAATCATAGTGATAGGTTTGGATGGAGCGAATGACAGTCCAGATATGGTTAGCAAATTATAGTTCACAGGGTAAATCTCCCAGCCCATCACATGCTTTTGCATTTTTTAAAGGGCTGAAAGACTAAAGCAGCAGCATATTTTTTATAACATGTGAAAACTACATGAAATTCAAATTTCAGTGTCCACAAAGTGTTATTAAAACACAGCCATACTCATTTGTTAATGTTATTTCTGGCTACTTTCCCATGGAAGAGTTAAGAGGTCATATTACCCGCAAAACCTAAAATATTTACCATCTGGTCCCAGAAAATGTATGCCCACCCCTAGCCAAGCACAAACATGAGAATGCTTCAGGAAGATGAGACGCTTCTTCCTGTGACTCCAAAGGGGTTCTGAGCTAAAATCAGCAGTTCTGGAGGCTAACTTCTTAAATAAATAAATAAATAAATAAATAAATAAATAAATAAATAAAGTGTAATCTGCCTGAGAAGAATTTGGTCTCCAAGTATGGAGGTTGGAGAGCTAGGTTAGGGGCCTCCTCATCTGGCTATTAGAGAACGACTGGTCTGTGTACTTGCTCCTTGATTATGCACATTAAAGCAAAGTACACCAATAAATTAAGTCCTACCAACCCACAAGAAAATTGGTCAGTCTTTTTTTTTCCATTTAGGCTAAAGATTTGATGGGAAAACAAAGAAAGAGAAAACCCACTCCAGTTACTATATTATTCCACTGGTCCTTCACTTATCAACATGAATAAAGAGCCAACATTTAAGGAAAACACGAGCATGAGAAAGAAGGTCCATAATGAAAATAATTAGTCTGAATAAGCAACCCTGGAGAAATCAGAGGTAATTCAGGGAGGAAAAAAAATTCTATGTCTCTGTAAAACAAGAGATATAGAATTAAAAGAACAGAGTTTAAACATAAAATATATGCCTGTCTGCCACCACCTTCTCCCATTCAGAAAAAATAGAAAAGGTGGAGAAAAAGTTGAAGAGGAACAATCCAAAGGAGTTAATCTTCCTAAACTTTCAGGAAAAGACACTCCTCTCTCCCCTCCAAAAATCTGTTCCACATATGCACACACACACACACACAAACACACACACACACACTCCCCAAAGAGAGGGTGTTGAAAGGACTCGGAACACAGGGCAAATGAAATAAAAATACATAAAGCTGTAGACACTTTTTTTTTTCAACCTAGAGCAGAGGTTGCCAAACTAGGGCCCATGAGTCAAATTCAGCAGACTCTGTTTTAGCCAATAAAGTTTTACTGGGACAAAGTCATGCTCATTCATATACATGTTATCTGTGACTGCTTTTGTGCTCTCACAGCGAGTTGAAAAGTTGTAACAGAGACCATATGGACTACAAGGCCTAAAATATTTACTATTTGGTCTTTTATAGAAAAAGGTTGCCAAAGCTTGATCTAAAGCTGTGTGATTTAATATAGTACAAACTAGCCACATGCAGCTGTTTAAATAAATAACTTAAAATAACTAAAATTAAATAAGATTAAAATTCAGTTCCTCTGTCATATCAGTCACATTTTAAGTACTCTATAACCATACGTGTTTAATGACTATTGTACTGGACAGTGCAGATACAGAACATTTCCATCAACATAGGAGGTTCTACTGGACAGGGTTCATCTGGGTATTACAATAGATTATTGTAACTGCATTTTAATTACTGCTTTAACAATTGCTACACTGAAAAAACATACCTAAGTGCTACAGTCTGAATGTGTCCCCCAAAAAGCATGTGTTGAAAATTTAATTCCCAGTGCAATAGTGTTGAGAGGTGAGGCTAAATGGGAGGTGTTTAGGTCTGAGGGCTCCACCCTCATGAATGGATTAATGAAAATTATAAATGAGATTGAGGCTGAGAGTTGACTCTTGTTCTCTCTTGCTCTCTCTTGGGCCACTCCACTATGTGATAACACAGCAAGGACACCCTCGCTGGATACCAGCCCCTCAATCTTGGACTTCCCAGTTTCCTGAATTGTGAGCCAATATATTTCTGTTCATTATACATTACCCAGTCTCAGGTATTCTGTTACAGCAACACAGAATAGAATAAGACACTCAGAAGCAGGAAGAAGAAATACATTTAGAAAAAGACAGAAATTAGGGGTTTTAGAAATGAAAATAATGGCCGAGCATGGTGGCTCATGCCTGTAATCCCAGCACTTTGGGAGGCCGAGGCAGGTGGATCACTTGAGGCCAGGAGTTTGAGCCCAGCCTGGCCAAAACAGTGAAACCCCATCTCTACAAATAAATAAATAAATAAATAAATAAATAAATAAATAAATAGCTGGGCATGGTAACACATGCTTGTAACCCCAGCTACTTGGAAGGCTGAAGCATGAGAATTACTTGAACCTGGGAGGTGGAGGTTACAGTGAGCCAAGATCATGCCACTGCACTCCAGCCTGGGCAACAGAGTAAGACTGTCTCAAAAAAAAAAGAAAAAGAAAAAGAAATGAAAATAATTAATGCATACATCAAAGACCTTGTTGTATGAAAATATCACCGAAATAGATATTTTTAAAGTCCTTCAAAGTCAGAGAGAAAAAATCCGAACTGAGAGAAAATTCAAAGATATAGTACTACAAATGAGAAACTAAATTTGAACATAGATGTGGAAGAGATTATAATTCAAGGTTGAGAATGTAATGAATGCTATCACATTTGAAAGTAATAATAAAGTTTCCTACGAAAACAGAATTCAAAAAGAGGTAGAATAATTATATAGAACAAGAGCCATTAGTAATTTTTTAAATTATGTAATAAATGGATCCAATTTGGTTCTGAGTTAATGAAAATAATGTTTGCTAGGATATCCAACTTTCATTTTATCCTGCAAGAAATTCATCAAAACATACTTCATATCCAGACTCTTAAACTAAGAAACAGTAGTCAAAATAATAAATTTCACTCTAACACTACCCATTGGTCCAGGATTTATTTATTTCTTTAGAGAGGAGCTTCAGGAGCCTGTGGGACCCTTCGGGCAAAATCAGTAGATGTGATTTTTTCATATGAAATAGTTTTAAATATTTGGCCTACTCCCAGGCTTCCATAATTATTCAAACCGAAGGGAAATTGATCACATCTCAGCAGAAATGTCCACGATAATTAGAACATCACACATGCTTTAACACAGTAGCTTTATGTCTATGAGACTCTGGTTGACACGTGAAAGGAACACCAGTCAGCCGTTATTTAATTCCTCATGTTGGCTACATGCAAATATGGAGAAAAGTCCCAGACTGAATGACATACAAATGTTGGGCCAGTCTCTGAAATTTCTTTTCTTTTTTTGCTAAAAATTTTAATGTTTTTGTGTTGACCATTAAAAACACTTTGTTTGCCTTTATTTTTTCTTGTAGACAGATTTACTTGACAAATCTCCTTGAACTAAAACCCTTGGACACATTTACCCTATTACACTGCACATTCTAACACATGACTATACAATGGCTTTTTAAGTTTTAATTTAAATACCCCAGTTTTCCATTTATACTTTAAAATCCACTAAAATTATAATGAATATAAGTACTCATTTGCCCTGGTCAGTCCCAGCTTACTCCTGCTTTCCTAGCATCCAATATAATTCAGTATTTCAGTACTTTCAAAAGTGTCCTAAATAATCTACAGATCAAAGAGAAAATCAAAACAAAAAGTAGTAAATATTTTGAAATAAATGATGAAAACATAAAATGCCATAAGTTATAGGAGCAGCTAGTGCACGCTCTTAACTACATACGGTATATTAGAAAAGGCAGAAAATCAATAATTAAGCTTTTAGTATAAGAAGGCGGAACAAACAAAGCCTTAGCAAATCAAAATGAAGGAATGTAGAAGGAAATAAATGATAAATAAATAGTAATCGATTAAACAGAAAGTAGAAAGTAAAGACTGAGAAAAACCAATAAAGCCAAATTTGAGTATTTTTAAAGATTACGTGAAAAATCCCTAGCAAAATTAACAATGAAGAAAAAAAGGAAAAGAAACTCATTCTCAATTGCTGATATTTATTTATCAGCAATAAATAAAAGAAGAAATCACTACAGTCACAAAAGGATAGGAAGAGCTCATTCCAGTATGGCAAAGTAAGCTTATGACAGACCAATCCTACCATAGACAACAACTATAAACTCTGAACAATACACAAAAATCAATTATGTGAAGGCTCTACAGATTTAATAGAAGCAAACAGATTTTGCTGGGTAGTCAACTTAGGTGAGAAGGAATTGCCACAGGGTGAGTTTCCCATTTTTACTGATTTAACTTGAGGTCCCCACAGTACAGTGTGGCTCAAATTCTGAGAGAAAGAAAGCCAGCCTTCTGAAGAACCTGAAGACACACACTAACCAATGGAAAGTCCAGAAAGAAATCTGCCTAATTTATGTGTGACTTTATTTATTAAAAAAGTGATGATGCGATATAGCAAGGAAAGAATCATTTTTTCAATAAATGGTGCTAGGTCAATAGGATACCAATACAGGAAAAATAAACACATCTTTACCGCTGCCTCACACCAAACACAAAAAAGTCAATTCCAATAAAGTACAGACATAAATATTTAAAAGTAAAACATCAATGGTTTTAGGAAAAAAAACATGGAGATCATCTTCGAAATTTTGGAGTAGGCAAACATAGCCATAAAGCACCAGCCACTAAGAAAAAATTGTTAAGTCAGAATATGTTTTGACTGAAATCAAAAGATAAGAAAATGAAAAGGCAAGCTACAGAATGATAGAAGATATTTGTAATGAATTTATTTGGAAACGAACTCTTATCCAAAATATAAAAGAACTCCTACAAATCCATGGGACAGAGGCAGACAATCCAAATTTGTAAAATTAAAAAACATGGATAGACCCTTTCACAAAAGAGGTTACCCAAATGGCCAATAAGCATATAAACGGGTGCTCAACTTCGTCAGTTCAAATCCAAATGACAATGCCATACCACAACCCTCTGAGAATAGCTGAAATGAAAGAAGAAAAACATTGTGTTGATAAGGATGAGAAGTAACAACCATTCCCAAATACTACTGGTAAGAGTATAAACTGGTACAATTGCATTGAAGAAATGGCCACAAATGGGAAACTATCCAAATCCCTTCTAACAGTAGAACACATAATAAATTATAATACATTTATATAATACTATACAGCAATAAGAATAGATCAGCCACAACGACACACATTAACAAGGATCATTTCACAAAAATAATGTTAAGCAAAAGAAGTCAAACATGGAATCTAATAGTGGATCTAATGGAATCTAATAGTTGATCTCACAGAAGTAGAGAGTATAATAAAAGTAGAGAAGTAGAAAAACAGGTAAAAGAAATCTGTGGTGCTACAACTCAGGACTATAGTTTCTCTTTGTGAGTATAATGACAGGAAGGAGGCAAAAAAGGAATTACCGGAGGTTGAGGAACTCCCTCTGTGTAGACATGACCTTAGTATTCATTCCTTCAATCATGCTGCCAGAATACCAGCAGGCCCCGTAGTGAACCTTCACAGTATCTCTGCTATATGCTTTACCTGCACAGACACAACAGTGATATGGACTCCAGGGCTAGTGAAGCCACTGAAAAAACAACTGAAGAGGTGTCCACTTGTATCAGAAGGTGCTGGTTGCCTACCATGTTCATTATATGTTTTCTGGTGTATCTCAAAGTGGTTTCCTGCAGGATTTACAACAGTCAATCAAGGAAGTTATGGGAAACATTGTGGACATGGAAAAAATAAAAAATAAAAAACGTCGGGAGGGAATAGTTGTTTAAGATAGGCACCTTGGAGAAATTCAAGAGTTAACAGACACCACACCAGAGGCATTAACAGAAGATGACTTGATGGAGATGAATGCTTCCAAACAAGTGCCAGATGATGAGAAAGAAGTAGAAGAAGCAGTGCCAGAAAACAAACTGACATTAGGCAATCTGGCAGAAGTCTTCCAGTTATTCAAGACTGCTGTGACTTCTTCTGACATGGACCCCTATTATAACACAGATACTAAAACTAAAGCAAACAGTGGAAGAAATGGTACTGTACAAAAACATTTTTAGAGAGCTGAAAAAGCAAAACAGACAAATTAGTATGTATTTCCATAAAGCTATATTGACTGCGTCTACCTCTCCTTCCTCCCCTCCCACCTTCTCTGTCTCTGGCACCCTTGAGACTACAAGACCAACCCCTCCTCTTCCTCCTTCTGCTCAGACTACTCAACATGAAAAATGTCAGAACGAAGACCTGTATAATGATCCACCTGCACTTAATGCATGGCAAATATATTTTCTTCCTATGATTTGATTAACATTTTCTCTAGCTTACTTTATGGAAAGAATGCAGTACATAATACATATACAAATTATGTGTTAATCCACAGATGTCATTGGTACAGCATCCAGTAGTCAAAAGTAGACTATTAGCAGTTAAGTTTGGGAGGGGTCAAAAGTTATATGCGTGTTTTCAACTACACGGGTGTGGGGGTCGACACCCCTGATCCGCACACTGTTCAAGGATCAACTGTACTTTATTGACCTATTTGCCCACGTATCTTCCCCAACTGTGAACTCAAAGAGTACTGACACAGTATTTTTTTCTCCTGTAACCTGAGCTCTGGTGCACTTCCTAGAATTTAGTATGTCCTTCATAAAGAATTAATTAAGAACGCACCTAAACATATAACTTTTTTTTTTTTTTTTTTTGAGACACAGTCTCGCTGTGTCGCCCAGGCCTGGAGTGCAGTGGCGCAATCTCGGCTCACTGCAAGCTCTGCCTCCCGGGTTCACCCCATTCTCCTGCCTCAGCCTCCTGAGCAGCTGGGACCACAGAAGCCCGCCACCATGCCCAGCTAATTTTTTTGTATTTTTTAGTAGAGACGGGGTTTCACCATGTTAGCCAGGAAGGTCTCGATCTTCTGACCTTGTGATCTGCACGCCTCGTCCTCCCATAGTGCTGGAATTACACGCATGAGTCACTGTGCCCAGCCAACATATAACTTTTAACTCTTCCTTTCCATGAATACTTTATTTATTCTCGTGTTTTATATTCAACTCTGCTACTTGCTGGTAAGTTCAAGAATTTGAAATTATTTGGGAGCAAAGATTTTATCTTTGTTAAAAAAAAAAAAAAAAAAGGCGGCTGGGCGCGGTGGCTCACACCTGTAATCTCAACACTTTGGGAAGCCGAGGCGGGTGGATCACAAGGTCAAGAGATTGAGACCATCCTGGCCAACATGGTGAAAGCCTGTCTCTACTCAAAATACATAAATTAGCTGGGCATGGTGGTGCATGCCTGTAGTCCCAACTACTCAGGAGGCTGAGGCAGGAGGATCATTTGAACCCAGGAGGCGGAGGTTGCAGTAAGCCGAGATCATGCCACTGCACTCCAGCCTGGCAACAGAGCGAGACTCCGTCTAAAAAGAAAACAAAAAACAAACAAACAAAAAACCCATATTTGGCTGACGCGCTGGCTCACACCTGTAATTCCAGCACTTTGGGAGGCCGAGGTGGGCGGATCACGAGGTCAGGAGACTGAGACCATCCTGGCTAACACGGTGAAACCCCATCTCTACTAAAAATACAAAAAATCAGCAGGGCGTGGTGACGGGCGCCTGTAGTCCCAGCTACTCGGGAGGCTGAGGCAGGAGAATGGTGTGAACCCAGGAAGGCACAGCTTGCAGTGAGCCGAGATCGCGCCACTGCACTCCAGCCCGGGGAACACACCTAGACTCCGTCTCAGAAAAAAAAAACAAAAGCATATTTATCCTACGATAGTGTTATACCAGATATATATCCTAATTTCATGAATACTCTGGTGTGTATATAGATCATCTTTCCAGAATTATAGTCCAAGTCAAAGTTGGAAAATAATTCTTCAGTTCTAGTAATGAGGCAAACAAAGCACCACTATCATCATCTTGGGAAATCTAAAGGGTTAAGTAAATACAGTAGGAAACAAGGGAATATGTAATACAGAAGCCTATAAAAACGAATTATACCATTATGTTAAGTGAAATAAGTCAGACACAGAAAGACAAATATCACATGATCTTACTCATAGGTGGAATCTAATAGTTCATCGCACAGAGAGTACAATGGTGTTTACCAGAGGCCAGGATGGTTGGCAGGGGGGATGGGGAGAATTTGGTCAAAGATACATAATATCAGTTAGATAGGAGGAATAAATTTCAAGAAATCTATTATATAACATGAATTTATAGCAAGCTGACTATAGTTAATAATCATATATTGTATTCTTTAAAAAAATGTAAACAGTGTAGATGTTATGTACTCTTACCACAAAAATGATAACTATGTGAGGTAATGCATTGCTAATTAGCTAGATTTAACGATTCCGGAATGTACATACACTTCATAGCATCATGAGGTACACAAAACAATGCCATCTGTCAAAAAATAATAATTATATGTAGCATTTCAAAAAGTTCACAGCATCAAAAATATTTGTAGGGGTGGGGGGACAGAGAGCATCAGGAAGAATAGCTAATGGATGCTGGGCTTAATACCGAGGTGGTGGGTTGATCTGTGCAGCAAACCACCACAGCACACGTTTACCTATGTAACAAACCTGCACATGAAGCCCAGAACCTAAAACAAAAGTTGAAGAAAAAAAAAATTCAAGACGTTTCTATCTGATATTGGACTGCTTTGTCACTTTTTCTTTTGGTCTTCCTAGTGCTTATTTACTACAGGATAAAATTAGCACATGCTATTTAATGTGTTCATTTTAAGTACTATGTTGTTTTCTATGTGTTAATTTTATCTCCTCCAGGTGAGACCATTTTTATTACCATAGGTCTAAAATGACAAGATTAAGTCCAAACAGACAGTAATCACTCAACAGCTATTTATTGAGTAACTTAAAGATTCAATATGAAAGCAACCTTGATCAAAGCTTTCCAGTTGATATATTGTGAAACAGGGTTTTTTCCTAAACATGATTCTAAAAAACAAGCAAACAAACAAAAATCCTCCCCAAATGAAAAACTCCAGTCACTATTTAGCAATACTAATTTCAATTTATCAAACAGAATCAGCCCAAAAATTTCAACAGGTCAGTGAGATTTAAAACAATTCGATGGCAAGAATTTCAATGAGGTTTGGCTCTAATTAAAAGGTATCACAGATCACTGTCAAAGTCAATAACTCAGTAGTGCGGTAATGATTTGGGAGTCCTTTTCAATTTAGACATTTGTCAATCATGATTGCCTTTAAACATCAGTTACCCACTGTCCCTGCTCAGTTTTGAAAAAAAAATTAAATACAAAAATACAACTCAAAATACATGTTTTTTCCACACATAAAATTGGTATTTTAGTAATAAACTCTCGATTCAGGGTTCATAAAATAAAGTAGGTATACTTCTAATTCTTCCTAGCAGTTTTTTGGGGGAAAGAAACCCTAAGTATTTTCTGTTATTTGCAGCTGCTTTAACAGCAAACGACAATTAAATGTGTGAACAAGGTTGTCAGAGTAACACTTGTCATTTACACCGCTTAGGAAAGACATCCAAGACTTCCAGAAACACTAATTAAAATTAACAAAAGCTTCTTATCGGAACTTGTCAGAGAGCTATAGTTTGTCAGACACAGGAAAACCAGATAGCCTCAAAGTTCAAGAGTTTTCGCTCTAAGGTTTAATTCCAAACCACCTACCACTAGGCACTAACGAACTAAGCCCAGACGCTCAGCAACCAACTCATTAAGGTAAGAGATCCCATCCTTTCCATATAACACAAAATTAAGAAAAAGACATCGTGGGGAAGGCGGAGTGAATTTTCTATCAGAAATCAGAAGATAAATGAGCAGGAAAAAAGTCTATCCTCACACACAGCGGAGAAAGGTGCTAGCAATTGCTTGATAAGCCCTAAGGGTTTATTGTTTCACCAACCTTTTCTTTAACTCAATGTGAATGAAGGCACTCAAAAGGAGAAGAACGTTACGTGATATTACCTACCTCGGGCCCCAAAGAACCCTGGAGACCCTCAACCAGGACACAGGTGGGCCTTTCTCACCTGGGCCCCGCCGAAGTCGACCGTCCTTTCGTAGGGCGCACTTTTCAGCAATACGCCTTCCGATTGGTTGGCTCGGGACTGACGTCTCAGTCCTATTGGTTACGAGAGCCGCGGTTGGGGCGAGGAGGCGGGAGTTTGGCACTGGTTCTGATAGGACGGGTGTTTGCGTTCCCAGAGTTCCTATTGGGTTAACACTGGAGGCTCTAAGATGGCGGCAGTGGCAACCTGCGGTAGTGTTGCCGCGAGTACTGGGTCTGCAGTGGCGACAGCCAGCAAGAGCAACGTCACCAGTTTCCAGAGGAGGGGTCCTAGAGCCAGCGTGACCAACGACAGCGGCCCTCGACTGGTGTCCATTGCGGGCACGCGACCGTCGGTGCGGAATGGACAGCTGCTGGTATCAACCGGGCTCCCAGCCCTAGACCAGCTCTTAGGTCGGTTCAGAGCGGAGATCTGGGCTCAGCCGAGGGGAAACTTAGGGAGGGGACCTGTCGGGGAAGCCACTTTGACCCCACATCTCTTTCTGACCCCTAAACCTTCGGAGGAGGAGAGAATAGCCTGGTCTGATTGAGATGGAGGGGAATACGGGTTGTGTGGAGACTTCTGAGCGCTGTTAACTAAACATGTTTTAGTGCCCTCGCTCTCTATTTCATTCCCTGCCCTCCAACCCCTTTTCATATTACGGAGGAATTCGTACATGCTTTTTACCCTGAAATGCTTTCTAGTCAAGGGAAGACATTAATTTATGGAGATGGTTTGGCTTTCATTCAGGATACCTCCCTTCTGCTTTCTCCAGGCAGCTCACGGTTTAGACCAGCCTGCAAAAGTTTTTATAATTGTGAGAGACAGACTTCATTAGAAGATGCTGGAAAAAAATGATTTCCCCTCTTTGACCGTCAGACTGCCTGTTCTCTGGTTCTAAATCTTAAAACATTTTGGCTTTAAGAGAGCGAATGTTAAAGGCTTATGTTGACACATAATCCTTATAAAGTATTTTGAGCCTGTCGTTGATATTTAGATAGTGTCTGCGTTAAATCTGTGTATATATTTTTTATTTTTTCTATATACATTTTGCTTCCCAGTATTGATTGCTGCTACATTCCATACGACATCTTTAAATTTAACTCACATTTTAACGAGAAAAGTCTAGTTCTTAGGCTTTCCTTTAAAATCTCTGGAATTTTTTATGAGAAGCCTGCTGAAGAATATGCTTGTTTCATAACTGTTATATTCAAAGGAATGACCAGATTAAGTTGGTAGGACAGATTTGCTGTGTTAATAAAGCTTCTAGATTAATTTCTGAATGCTGTTTCATTAAAACCCCGTCTGTGTTTACATAACTTTTTTCATAGTGTGTGATATGTGTCTGTTAAATCTTGTACACTTTCATAAAATATAACTCATTGCTTGTTCTTGTACTTCGTTTGACATTTCTTTCGGTTATTTTCCCCTCAAAGTAGGCTTTTCATAGGTTTAGTGCAGAGAAAGTAAGAAGACCAGCAACCTATGAGAAAGAGTATGGCTTCTTGATTCTCTCATTTCATTTTCCGGTTATTTCTAGATAAGTTTAAGTATTTTTCACTTAATTGTTTCAAATATATTTTCCTCCTGAGTTGCATGGTACTGTAAATAGAAGTGATTCAAAATATCTAGTTAGCAAATATATAGTCCACCGTTTTTCCCTTGTGAGCCTCAGTTGATATCCTCTTACATTTGAACTTTAAGTTTGGTAGCTATTTCTAGGCCTTATATATTTTTTAATTCAATGGGATATGTAACTTCATTTACTTGATACTAAAACTTTCCAAACAAAAAGGTTATGTTTCTATTATAATGTCTTCAGTTCCTCATTAGAATAACAAAATGTTCCTAGTGTACCTCCTGGCACTTAGTAGATTCTCAGTAAGTTGTTGAATACAAGAAAAATAATGTGTAGAAAAAAACTGAGACAAGAAATTATGAAACATGTAGAATGGAGTTTCATGTTTGAGCTCTAAAAACAAATTAAGTGATATGAACAGTCTCACAAAACCAGTGACCATGTGTACTGATTGTTAGGCTTCAAATTTAGTGCTCTTTGCACTAGGCTACCGCTGTCTGAAATTTTTACGTATTCTTTCCAGGGGTTTTGACCATTTATTGAACCTCGGATTAATGATTTAACTATCGTCTCTTAAAGTACCCACCAAAAAGAGAACCCAAAGCACCTTCTATACGTGTTTCTTCAGAGATACAAACTTGAACAGTAATTTTTAAAGTTTCCGTATTTGCTTGGAATGGGAGACTCGAGTAGGGTATTTAAGTGTAACAAGCTTATGCTAAAAATTACTGTTCATTAAGATGGTAGAAACAGTATTGGTTGTTGAATACTTTGAAATATATTTTGCATGTATGCAGTGAATTCTCAAAGTGCACAAAAGTTGAAGAGGTTATAATAGAATTGACTACATCTTGAAAAATAAATATGTCCAGAAGTATTTTAGTTTTAACCTCTTAATGACATTTTTGTATCTGATTTTCTGTATAAGCAGTTTAGACTATGTTATTACTTGAAAATGTTATTTGACTCAAGTTGCGACAAGCCTAATATGACTATATTGTGACAAAAGGTAATGATAATAGGATGTTATGGTGTTAGAACGGTAAAACTATACTGTAATATTGTGATTATTGCCTGAATATATTATGTGGTTACTGTGTAACAAGTAAATATTATAGCTTCCGTGTAGTACGGTGACATTTTACTACTGCCACCGTGACGTCATTGTAATTTTAAACATGGATGCAAAATATATTTGAAAGGCATCATACATGCTAATTGTTAGTCATTTGATGATACACTGATAATTCCATTACTTATTCCAAAGCATTTCATGAATTTGAAAATTTTCAATATCTGCATTTTTCAAATGACCTAATATATAATGTTTTTGTTCTGACAACCTAATTGTATTATGAGATATTGATATACATTTCCCAAGTTAGCTACATTAAAATTGTTTAAATTCCCAGATTATCTAACCCATGTTCTCAACCTTGCCCTTCTGGGATATTTATATTGTTATTTGAGGACACTGTATGTAAATAACACTTATATTTTGGAAAAGGAAAGATAGATATTCCATCGATTGAAGAGGTACTCCATTTCTCTTCCAGGGGTTTCCAAAGAAAGATTATAGCAACTAAAGAATTCTGGCAGAAATGCCCCCTGCCCTCCGCCCCCCCTCCCCCGCCCCGCCCACCCAACCCCATTCCCTGTAAAAGGTATATACTCCATCATAGAACCATATATCTAACCTGGAAGAATTAACCACAACTTCATCCTCCAGAAAAATGCTTAAAGGAAGGGTAACTGCAGATTTGACCTCTGTGCTGTTAAATTTTGATAGTGAAGGGAATGTCAGATAGGGATTTGAGGTAAATAATAGTCTAGGAAGAGTACCCTGAAAGAAGCTTAATGGTAACAGCCATTTTTTAACATTGATGTCAAAAAGTAAACACTAGTGGGCTTATTTCCTTTATTATGTTAATGTGTAGCATGGGATAATATACATTGAGCTTGGACTACATATTTAACACAATCTTGGTTATGATATTTTACCAACCAATATAATTAGCTGTATATTTAAGAAAAATGTATTTTTTATTGCTATGTAAAATTATTTCATGTGACTTAATCTATAGAACTATTCACAGTTCCTAGCTTTATTTTGATTCTCATGTTTGTCCAGCTAATAATTGTGTCATAATGAAGAGTAGTCACTATGTTTTATAATGCTTGGGGAAGAAAAAGTAGAGTTGTTATCAAAATAACTGCAATTAAATTTGAGATCCAGCATTAATTAAGTAGTTAAGGCTATTACTATGAACCAAGGAAAGAATATGAACTTGTTTTTTACATTGCATTTTCCCAGAAATACTTTTTTGTAATTTTAAGCAAAATTATTCCTTTATATAGAGGTCTGGAAAGGACTGGCATAAATCACTGTTATCTTTCTTGACTTTCATTTCTTTTCCCTTTTACTTTCTCTAACATTGAAGAAAGGCTTTCATATTCTAGTGTATTAATTTGACCTCATTTACCCAAAATGTATAGCTTAGTCAGAGGTTTCTATTGGGGAGAGTATGGGGATTGAATGTTGTTCCTTTAAAATATTAATAGTACTAATGTAATTGTCTTACTACTGCATGAATTGAAATAACAACAAAAGCCCTTTCGTTGTCTTATGATTTTGAAAATCGTGGAAGATACTGGCATTTGCAAGATCTTAAATTTTCTAATATTATTTCTTAAGTATTAAATATCTTTTCTGGTTTTAAGAAAAAATGCCTATTTTTAAAATATGTGAAATCTTGATGAAATTAATTGTCTAAAATATCAAGCTTGCTGAGTATCTTTAACCTTTCAAACCTTTATTTTGATTCTCATGTTTGCCCAGCCAATAATTGTGTCATAATTATTGAAGAGTAGTCATGATTCTTTAACCTTTCAACCTCTTGTATTCTTTTGTGTACATAAAGTACTCTACTTTTATTTTTAGTAAGATGGAAATAAGTATACATCTTAAAGACATCTAGAAGTAAAAACAAGAGTTTATTTGCTGGCCAGGTGTGGTAGCTCACACTTATAATCCCAGCACTTTGGGAAGCCAAGATGGGTGGATTGCTTGAGCCTGGGAGTTTGAGACAAGCCTGGGCAACATAGAGAGACCCTGGCTCTTCAGAAAATACAAAAATCACCCAAGCTTGGTGGTGCACACCTGTAGTCCCAGCTACTCAGGAGGCTGATGGGGGAGAAGCCCTGAGCCTGGGGAGTTCAAGTCTGCAGTGAGCAGTGATCACACCACTATACTCCAGCCTGGGTGACAGTGAGACCCCATCTCAAAAAAAGAAGAATTTATTTTGCTTAGTGACTTAGAAAGTGTGTTGGTAATTTTTCTAAGTTAGGATGAAAGGGGAGAGGAAATAGTAAACAAGGCCGTTTTACTACTTTCTTGCCTGTTTTCATTATAAAAATAAGATGATTGTTTGCTTACCCTATTACTTATCTGTAATACATTGTATTGGGAAAAGATATTTCAGTTTTAATTGGTAACTATTAGTGTGAGGTCTATGTTGCTTTTGGAATTAGATAAAATTACTAATGGATTACTAAATTTAAAAGTAAATTAAAAGCCAGCCTTCAAAGAATATGTCAGGATACTCTGTTGTGATTGGTTGGTTGTTTTAGCTTTTTATTTATTTATTTTTTGGTTGGAGCATGGCTACAAACATTCAAACTTTTAAGTTAAAATACAGCTAGACCTTCCATTTATCAAGTAAGAGACATCAAAATACCTTATACAAAGGTATCTTGTGGAAATGTTTTGAGATCATGTCTCACTAAACTCAAGTTTAGAAGAATAGAGAAATTTTGCTGCTGTATGCATGTGTGTGTGTGTGTGTGTGTGTGTGTGTGTGTATATATATATATATATATATATGTATAGGTCCAAATTATTCCTCTTAAAACACATAGAGTAAAAGCTTGATTTTTAAAAGCTTTAGTTAATAAGTTTAAATTAGTTAATGAGTTACATCTTATTCCCCACAACTATCCTTCACAGTGACCAAACTTTACTACAGCCAATCTAAATGTGAATCTAGTGAATTTACATGATAGAACCTTCTTACCTTTTTGTAAAAGAAGTTTGAGAAGATATTTGGTGATAAAAATGATTTTAATATGTCCCCATTATGTCTTAATGTTCAAATTTTCTAAACATTAGAATTTTAATACACATAAGATTTTTTAGGTTATGTGGTCACTCATGCCTGTAATCTCAACACTTTGGGAGGCCAAGGCTGGAGGCTAGTTTGAGCCCAGGAGTTCAAAACCAGCCTGGGCAATATAGTGAGACCCCATCTCTACAAAGAATCAAAGAATTAAAAAAGAAAAAGAATTAGCCAGTCATGGTTACATGTTCCTATAATCCCAACTATTTCAGAGGCTGAGATGGGAGGACCCTTGAGCCTGGGAGGTTCGAGCTGCAGTGAACCATGATTGCACCACTGCACTCCAGTCTGAGCAACACAGCGACACCCTGTCCCCACCCCCCACAAAAAAAAGGAATTGCCAAAATGGTAAAGGTAGCTCTTTCTGAGTACCTTTCTGGGCCAGATACCTCTACTTGGTAATCACTTCATGTAATTGGAAAACTGTTATGTGATCTGTTCTCATTGTCCCATAGTGAATGTTAAAAAATCTTTACTTCTGGCTGGGCGCAGTGGCTCACGCCTGTAATCCCAGCACATTGGGAGGCCGAGGCGGGCGGATCACGAGGTCAGGAGATTGAGACCATCCTGGCTAACACGGTGAAACCCCGTCGCTACTAAAAATACAAAAAAATTTGCCGGGTGTAGTGGGAGGTGCCTGTAGTCCCAGTTACTTGGGAGGCAGAGGCAGGAGAATGGGGGGTGAAACCAGGAGGCGGAGCTTGCAGTGAGCTGAGATTGCACCACTGCACTCCAGCCTGGAGGACATAGCAAGACTCGGTCTCAAAAAATAAAAAATCTTTGCTTCTCTGTCTGTCCCAGTGGAGGCCTTATATAAATTCCTTATTTGAGGAGATGTAAGTGTAACTCAGGAGGTTAGATAAGAAACCTAAATCCTCCCTATAGGAAATAGGTTAAAGTAAGAAACTTTTTAATAGTGCCTGCTCTAGCTTAGACACCATAATGTCTCTTGTATGCTTATATCAATTCATCTCCTTATATGTACAGAAAAAGGCTATTGGGTAATTAAATGTTTATTTCTGCATTTAAGGGAAAGTAGGAAAGTAAGGAAGTGTGATATAAGATGTTCAAATGAATTATAACATTAGTGTGGCACTATGAAATTAAACATTTAGTCTAATCTTATCCCAAAGCAAACCCTTTGTTCTGATCCATTTGTTTGTTTGAGACTGGGTCTCACATTGTTACCCTGGCTGGAGTGCAGTGGTGCGAACGCTGCTCACTGCAGCCATAACTTCCCATGCTCAATTGATCCTCCTTCCACAGCTCCCCAAGTAGCTGGGACTACAGGTGGCAGCACGCCTTGCTAATTTTTGTATTTTTTGTAGAGATGGAGTTTTGCCATTTTGTCCAGGCTTGTCTCAAACTCTTGAGCTGAAGTGATCTGCTCACCTTGGCCTTCCAAAATGCTGGGATTATAGCCGTGAGCCACTGCACCCGGACCTGATCCTTTTTGATGGCTATCATGATGTACATTTCAGCTTATGTTTATCTTTTCATCTGAAGATAAAAGTTATCCTATGTAGTCTGTTGCGACTTTAAATGCTATATGAAGGAACCTGTCTGAATGTGAACTTAAAATATAAAGTCTTGTAAATATATAAACTTAAACATTAAAACATTTAAATATACTAGGTTTTTTCATTATTTCCTTCCCTAAGAGTTTGAAATGTTCTACATATTGTCATGAAATTGATGTTTAGCCTCACTGTAAATCGCTTAGCACAAGTCTCATGTTGCATATTATTCTAGGCGCATGTATGTTACCAGATTTCAAACTGTTTAACACATAATAGTTATGCTTTTTTGCAAGGCAAAAAATAAACACTATCAAAGGAACTTTTTTTTTTTTTGAGACAGAGTCTTGCTATGTGGCCCAGGTTGGAGTGCAGTGGCATGATCTCAACTCACTGCAACCTATGACTCCTGGGTTCAAGTGATTCTCCTGCCTCAGCTCCCCCGAATAGCTGGGATTACAGGAGCGGGCCACCACATCTGGCTAACAGGGTTTCACCTTGTTGGCCAGGATGGTCTCGAACACCTGAGCTTATGTGATCTGCCTGCCTCGGCCTTCCAAAGTGCTGGGATTGCAGGTGTGAGCCACCGTGCCCAACCTATCAAAGGAACTTTTGTTACTAAGTTTTTCTGTATGACAAATGTGACTACAAAACTTTTTTGTGGAAAGTTCTTTATTAGTGTTCTAAATATTTCTTTCAGATTTGTATACAAAAAACAAACAATTAACATTGACTCCAGTTGTCCAACAACTTTGAGTAATTTTTTTTTTTAATGGAGTCTCACTCTGTCACCTAGGCTGGAGTGCAGTGGCGCGATCTCAGCTCCCTGCAACCTCCCCCTCCTGGGTTCAAGCAATTCTCCTGCCTCAGCCTCCCAAGTAGCTGGGACTACAGGCGGCAGCCACCGCGCCCAGCTAATTTTTTTTGTATTTTTAGTAGAGACTGGATTTCACTATGTTGGCCAGGCTGGTCTCGAGCTCCTGACCTCATGATCCACCCGTATTGGCCTCCCAAAGTGCTGGGATTACAGTCGTGAGCCACCGCACCCGGCCCAACTTTGAGTATTTTAAAAATTATACTTTAAATACATTTCTACTCTTTGATACTCATTTTTTAAAATTTTAAGTGAATTTGTGTTTGAGACATTAATCAAAATGGCAATAGTTTTACAAATGGAGTGAAGAGCAAAGTATAAGTACTCAAATGTCTTAGTGTAGTGCTAATTTCTTTAATTCTTTTTTTTCTTTTTTTTTTTTTTGAGACAGAGTTTCGCTCTTGTTGCCCAGGCTGGAGTGCAATGGTGCAATCTCGGCTCAGTGCGACCTCCACCTTCCTGGTTCAAGCGATTCTCCTGCCTCAGCCTCCTGCGTAGCTGGGATTACAGGCATGGGCCACCACGCCCATCCACTTTTGTATTTTTAGTAGAGACGGCGTTTCACTATGTTGGTCAGGCTGGTCTCGAACTCCTGACTTCAGGTGATCCGCCCGCCTCAGCCTCCCAAAGTGCTGGGATTACAGGCGTGTGCAACTGCACCTAGCCATAAAATTAATTTTTAAATTGATTTTTAATGATTCACCATTTGAATTATATATTTCACATATTTCATGATTATATTACCATAGTTCAGATTTTTTTTTTTTTTTTTTTCTGAAACAGAGTCTCACTCTGTTGGCCAGGCTGGAGTGCAGTGGTGCAATCTCAACTCACGGCAATCTTGCCTTCCAGGTTCAAAAAATTCTCGTGTCTCAGGCTGGGCACGGTGGCTCACACCTGTAATCTCACCACTTTGGGAAGTCCAGGCAGGTGAATCACGAGGTCAGGAGTTCGAGACCAGCCTTGGCAACATAGTGAAACCCCGTCTCTACTAAAAGTACAAAAAATTAGCTGGGTGTAGTGGTGGGTGCCTGTAATCCCAGCTACTTGGGAGGCTGAGGCAGGAGAATCACTTGAACCCGGGAGGCAGAGGTTGCAGTGAGCCGAGATTGTGCCAATGCACTCTAGCCTGGGTGACAGAGTGAGACTCTGTCTCAAAAAAAAAAAAAAAAAAAAATTCCCGTTTCTCAGCCTCCTGAGTAGCTGGGATTATAGGCATGCACCACCACATGCAGATTATTTTTTTTGTATTTTTAGTACAGACAGGGTTTCACCATGTTGTCCAGGCTGGTTTTGAACTCCTGACCTCAAGTGATCCGCCCACTTCAGCCTCCCAAAGTGCTAAGATTACAGGCCTGAGCCACTGTGCCCGGCCTAATTCAGATATTTAAAAGAACACTAGTCTAGTAATACCGAAAATGTATTTTGTGATGATATTCTTTTTTTGTTTGAAATGGCAAATACATTCCTTTTAAATTGTAAATATATTTAGAGCATGTCCAGACTTTGTGTATATTATTCATAATAAAAAAGAATTAACTTTAATTATCAGATCTTTACTCAGTCTTACTAAATTTGAAGATAAATATTAATGTGGAATTTCTATAATAATCTTTGTTGTACTTCTGTAGTAGTTAAGTTACTGTACACATTTAAGTCTTGAGTATTGAGTTAATTTATTAACAAGTGCTAAATATAACATTATTGGAGTCCTTAACCACAGTTAGGTTGAATGCTGTGTGGTTCTATCATAGAAGAAAGGAGGATAGTACAGTATATTATGGTAGTAATTTTAGGCCGGGCCTGGTGGCTCACTGGCTCACGCCTGTAATCCCAGCACTTTGGGAGCCCAAGGCAGGTGGATCACGTGAGGTCAGGAGTTCGAGACCAGCCTGACCAACATGGTAAAACTCCATCTCTGCTAAAAATACAAAAATTAGCCAGGCGTGGTAGTGGGCACCTGTAATCCCAGCTACTCAGGAGGCTGAGGCAGGAGAATTGCTTGAACCCAGGATGGGGAGGTTGCAGTGAGCTGAGAGGAGATTGTGCCACTGCACTCCAGCGTGATCAACAGAGCAAGACTCCATCTCAAAAAAAAAAAAAAAAGTAATTGTAATGTGTAGTATGTAATTACATATAATATGTAATTATTTCATAATAGCACCTTGAGCAAAGTATTGCAAAGGTAATTAAAATGTTGTTCACAACTACTGTTTTAAAGTTATTGAAGTGCCTTTCCTTCATAAAGCCTAACTTTTATGCTAAAGGTAATGGAAAAGGTAAATTAATTTTCTTCTGGTTTTGTTTCATTTCCAGGTGGAGGTTTAGCCGTTGGAACAGTTCTTCTAATTGGTTAGTACAAAATACATGCTTTGCTCTCCTCTATCATTGTTTTCTGTTGTGCATAATCATTTTATCCAATTCCCATTCCAAAATTATTTAAATCACTAACACGACAGAAGTTAAGATAAATTAGAGAGGAATTGACTTAAGTTCTATTTTAAATTCTAATGTTGAGCTGAACTTGAAATAAATTAGGCAAATATATCTGAACATGTAGCTCTTATAACTTAAAAATGTTCATAGTTCATTGTGCTCCATTTTTTTAAAAAGACTAAAATTAATGTGAATTGATTTTTTTGGAGAACCTCAGTATTTAAAGTGGGATTATTACAGGGATCAATTTGGGAAATTGAAATACCAAGTCCATCGTATATATCATATCATTTTATCATTATCTTTTTATTGAAACAAAAGTAACAAAGTAGTAAATCATATTTTAGTTCATCTTTAAAGTGGCAAGAGTCCTAATTTAAGTATATAACCATAATTGCCTTCCTTCTTTTTTAGTATATATAGGTCACAGAATCTTGGAATTGAAATAAACCTTGTCAGTTATATAATCAAAGCAGCCATATTAATATTTAATTCATGTATCTGTAACATATCTATTGTTCCTACTTTTGTCCTCTGATATAATATAAATTTACGTAGTTTTTCACGTGACACCCTTAAAATATTTGAAAATACCTATTTTTTCATCTCAAATATTCTCCAAACTAAATGGACATCATTCCTTAACCTGGTTTTATATGTTAGGGTTTTCACACACCTCACTGTTCTGATTATTCTTTTTATGCACCTTCTAGTCTGGCATTCATTTTCTCCTGAATCATGCCCCGACCTAAATACAGTATTCCAAATGTAATATGACCTGAAATCACCATACTGGGACTATAAAATAAATATGTTAATCTAGACAGAGTTATTAGTACCAGGCACCAAAAAGGTTAGTTTCTATTTATTGACCCCTAAGGTAACAAAAAAAGTATTTTGGAAGAATTTTCCCCAAGAGTGAGTAAAATACAAAGTGGTGATGCTTAAAATTTGGCATGTACGTAAGAATTTGTCTAGTAAAGGAAAACGTTATATAGAACATTTTATTCCTCATCTATGCTGGATAATTAAAGAGTAATAATATTAGTAGTGAGAGCTGCCTTTTATTTAACTCTTACTGTTGGTCATACATTATGCAAAGTGCATTATGTTTTTTTTTTTTAGCTTAATACAACAACCTCAGAAGATACTAAATATACTTCATGTTATCTCCCTTTTATACATGAGGAAATGAGGCTCACAAGGATGGGGTAGTTTTCCCACTATTCCATAGTTAATCTGATAACCAGGACTTGAATTCTGTGTGATTCCAAAACCCATTTTTTTTGTAACTATGCTCTAAAGTTTTCTCACATGTTTTGTTTAATAGCAATAAACAGTAAAATAGGAATTACATCCCTTTTTAGATTATTGCAGTTTCAAGTAGTAAAGTAAAACTCACATTTATGGAGATTTTTTCTTTTAATGGATTTTCAAATTTCTCAACATGAAGGAATCCTTGATAAATTCATGCACAATAAGGATCAAAGTTGCAGCACTGTAAAAATCCTTATTTCACATGATCAGCATTTCTCCATTCCAGTCAAAAAGTTTTGTCTTTAAAATATAAATCAATATACAGGGAGTGGTTAAAAACATCTTCAGTTGTACAGTATTTGTTAGATCAGTTTATATAGTTGTAGCATATTGCTATTAAAAATGTAATATATTAGTTTACTTAAATTATGCCATTTAATCATTTTGGTCCTGTGTTCTCTCAACTCAGCCATTGATTTCCCTGTTGGCTCTTGGCTGTGAAGTACCTGCCAACTTCTTACCAGTCATTTACTTACATCAATACAATATAATCTTCTGGAAATTTGCCTAGAGTTTAGTGCCTGAGTATCCAGATAGTAGACAATTTTTAATAAAAGCTAAGTAAAATATGTCTTATGAGATACTTATGTCACCCATGAGTCATTAAAGTACTGTTTAAGACAGAATTATTCCTAACATTACATGTAAGAGAGAAAAATAACCTGTGATCAAGAAATTCTAGAAATGATTATCTCAGTTACATTTTTAAGACTATATCTTATGGTAAATAAAGAATGTCTGAAGGTGTCTATTGAGAAAATTATTTACATGTTTGGTATAAATACATAAAATACAAAACGGTGTGTAAAGAAAATTAGGTTGCTTTTTCGGATCCTCAGCCTCCGTTCCTTGAAATTATAGTGTCCTGGGTATTCCACCCAAATATTGCCATGTAAGTAATATACATGGGAACATTTCACACCTTGCTTTATCTATTTAATACATCTTAGACCTCAATTTATGTACATTTATATAGATGTACTACTTCATTTTTGTTAACAACTGCATAGGATTTGATTATATAGATGTGCCATAATTTATTGTAATAGTTCTCTACTGAAAAATTTAAATTAATTCCATCTTTTTCTATTACTAACAATGCTATTGTGCATAATCTTGTGTATAACCTTTGCACACATATGTAAATATTCTAGAATAAACTGTAAGATATAGACTTGCTTCATTGCAGCATGTTAAATTTTGTAGCTATTATTAGATTGCTCTCCCAAAAGGTTATACTGTCATATGCTTCAGCCAACAATTATATCAGTTCACCCTAATCTCACCCTTGACAACACTTGTATGTTATCAAACATTTTAATATTTACCAGTCCAATTAGATTAGATTAGCAGATGAAGTTCTCCACTTTTTTTTTTTTTTTTTAAGAGATGAGTCTTGCTCTGTTTCCCAAGGTGGACTGCAACAGCATGATCGTAGCTCACTGCAGCCTCCAACTCCTGGGCTTAAGTAGTCCTCCCTTCTCAGTCTCCTGAGTAGCTGGGACAGCACTCACACCACCATGCCCTGCTAATTTTTTATTTATTAATTTTTTTTTTTTTGGTAGAGATAGGGCCTTGTTATACTGCCCAGGCTGTTCTTAAACTTCAGGCCTCAAGCAGTCCTCCTGCCTCAGCCCGCAGAGTGCTGGGATGATTGGTGTGAGCCACTGCATCTGGCCCCAGTTCTCTACTTTTCTTCATTCCCAAGTCTATGTGACTTGTACAATGAATTAAATCCACTTGAAGATATGGAAGCATAGTTTCAAAATATAAAAATACAAGGATTTTAGTTCAGTGTTTAGGAGCCTATGGTATTACTATATTGCTCATCACTGAAAAACTTTAAATTCCAGAAGTAAGAGAAAATTAAAACATGAAGATTATTTACATTAATAACATTTTACTATAGATTTCCAACTTTTTAACCATTTTCTCGTGAAATAGTTTATTCATTTACCAAGGCAGTTTTATGTAGAAGCATACCTGTGCATGAGTGTGGGCTTTCAGAGTACTGTATTTACAGCTTCAGTAGCAATTTAACTATGGAAACTAGAGCTAATGAGCACTGCCAGAAAAACCTAAAATAAGTCCACTCTAGACCTTCTGAATATAGCAAAATAAATACATGTGAACAGATGAAAGGAAATTCTCTGAGGAATAAATTGAAGAACTAAGGGACCCCACTGTGTACTTTAAAAATTTAAGATGGTTGTCAATTAATAAAATCAAAAATTGATTTTAAAATCAAAGGTAAAATTTGATTTTAAAATCAAAGATAGATTTTTCTTAAAATGTTTAATGCTTAAGTACTGGAATAGGCTTTGAGATGTTTTATCTATATTACTTTCTGACAGTCTGTTACATTGGTAAATTTGGAACACCTTAAAAGTTTCAAAAGTTAATTGATAGCATAAATATTTAGAGTTTACACAGTCTCTTTAAATAAAGGATCTTTATTTGTAAAGATACTGAGCATCAAAAAGGTTTAATAGAAGTTGTCACCTATTAAAATAATAGGTGACATTTATCAATGTGTTTTTTTAAAATAATCTTTTACATTAATTATGTAATTTTAGTTCTAGATATGGGAGATAAATGATACACTTTTGGATAATTAAACCTATTATCAGTGTACTTTTATATTACTTTTTTCTGTGTAACAATATTAACACAAATTTTACAGTTTATAAACAACATAGATTTATTTATCTCATAGTTTCTGTAGGTCAGGAATCTAAGCACACTCCCACGGAGTCCTCAGCAAGCCTACAATATAGGTGTCAGCCAGGGCTGAGTTCTCATCTGAAGGCTTGACAAGGGAACTATCTGCTTTCAAGCTCGTGGTTGTTTACAACATTCAGCTCCTTGCTGATTGGCAGCCAGAGGCTGCCCTCTCCATAGGGCATCTCACAAGATGGTGTCTTATTCCTTCAAAACCAAGAAGAGAGAATGTCCCTCAGCAAAATGTTATAGGTTTTCATAACAGAAATGACATCCCATCATCTTTGCCATAATCTCTTGGTTAGAAGCAAGTTCCACATTCTGCTGCAATCAAGGGGAAGAGATACACAAAGGCATGAATACCAGGAGACAGGAATCATAGGGACCACCTTAGAATGTGTTCACCACACTTTTCATAATTTTAAATCATATTATTTCCTGTAATAGCAAAAACTAAGCACTCTTAATAGTCCTCACAGAATATTATAGTATTTCTTGTCAGTCATCTTCAACCTTTCTGAATTTGCTAAGCTATATTATTCTTCTACATCATGCAATAAATTCTGAGCTAACCAGCCTGGGCAACATGGCAAAACCCTGTTTCTACAAAAAAATACAAAAATTAACTGGGTGTGGTGGCATGTACCTGTAGTCCCAGCTACTCAGGAGGCTGAGGTGGGAGGAGTGATTGAGCAAAGGAGGTTAAAGCTGCAGTGATCATGCCACTGGACTCCAGCCTGGGTGATAGAGCGAAACCCTGTCTCAAAAAGAAATTAAAAATTCTGAGCTTTTTTCTATGCAGGAATTGGCCTGCTAGCTGGTCACCTATTTTTGTAAATAAAATTTTATTAGAATACAGCCGTGCTTATTCATGTGCACATTGTCTACAGCTTCTTTTGTGCCACAAGTACAGTGTTGATTAGTTGTAACAGAAACTGTATGAATCACAAGGCCTAAAATACTTGCTTTCTGATTCCTTAAGAAAAATTTTGCCAATCGCTGTTTTGTGTTACTATATTTGATATTCTACTAAACTTACTTTAGAGTAGTAGAACTTTGTTAAAGGACTGAAATAGGACAACTGATATCAGTGCAGTCCTTTAGTAGAACCACCTGATCTTTAGTCCTGAAGCATTTAAGCTCTTACAATGTGTTCAGCACTGTTAGGCAAGATAAATCTCTGGATATTGGTTGCATATGGAATAACCATGAACAGTACATATATAACATGCCGATATAAGGAGTATGAAAAAGACTTAAATTGAATCAAAGTATGGGTAGAAAGGAGTGATGAAGAAAAAAAATTGCTCATATGGAAAACAATCAGTACACAATAGAGGATATCAACAGAGTATGCCTATGTAATAACTAGGTCCTTCTAAAGTAGAGAGAGTACATATTTAGGACTAGTGAGAAGGTAAGTTTGGCCTTCTTCCCCTGGATCTCTTGCTTCAACTACCTACTTGGAGAATTCACACTGTAAGGCTTAAGGACCCTTATACCAGTCCCCAGAACAATAGTGTGTAAAGACTAGGCTGTATACCTGTAATCCACTCCTAGGATTTTTGTTTGTTTAACTTTATGGCCAGCCAAATCTATCATGCTTTACCTCCTCGTTATCTTTGGTCATTATCTAAAACCAAATTAAGACCAAATCTAATTAAGCTGTTCCAATGGTCTGGTCTTTTATCTCTATAATACTCCGTATTTTTCTCTTTAAACTCAGTTTCCTATTTCCTTCTCTTCCAGACCTTTCCAGTTTGCCCTCTATAACACCTATTTCATGTAAAATAAACTCTGATATCCTAAAATCTTATCCTTAAATATTTTATTGAAACATTTAACATTTATTGAGGATGTACTGTGTGCTGGGCATCATGCTAAGCCATTGACATGTATTGTATCATGTAATTTCACAACAATGAGAGGAAGTGTCTTTATTTTATAGGTAATGAAATTGAAGCTTTGAGAGAAGCTAAGTAACTTGCCCAAGATCACATATATGGTAGCTGAGATTCACAATCAAATTTCTCATTTTATACTAAAACATGATAACTTATCTTAAAAATCCCTTATGGGGCTGTTCCACCTTCTATATCGTCTCATTGCTGCCATATATTGACTTCTTAGTTATTTTTATTATTTATTGGAGACTATCCTGATCTCTAACGTCAAGTAGGCTTTCAACACTGGCCAGAAAACTTTTGTATAAATCTAGTCACCTCTTTTTTATTTTCAGTAATCTCAGTGGCCTTTTAAACCTTCAAACATCTAACATAGTATACTGCTATGAAGACATCAAACAAGATGTCTTCAAACATCTAACGTAGTATACTACTTTATCCTAATCCTCTGAAATAACTTACAGTTATGTCACACAGAAAAAAAATACAGTTTTATCAGAGGAGAATTCACCCAAGTTCCTAAAATCAATCCTCAAAACTTACCTCTATTCACAAATGCAGAGATATACTGTGCCTTCTCCTATTTGAGAATCATCTTTCATCTGTACTTTAAATTTCATCTCATTCTAACTTTCCAAGGACCTAGCAATATCAATTTCCCTTCTCTCCTTATCTTTAATCTCTTCCACTATATTAGTTATTTTCAATGTGTACTTTAACCATACTCAAATCTATTTTTAAGCTTTATTTAAAAACAAGGGGAAAAAAATCTTCCCTCTTAACCCTATCCCTTTCTCCACTATTGCTTTTTCTCTTCCCTTTCATAGTCAAGCCTTTTGTATAGTCTGTACTTACATGTTTTATAATATTTCAGTCATTCATCAATCTACCTCAAATACTACCATTTCACTGAAACCACCTTAATGACTTTCTCACTGCTAAACCTAGAGGATACTTGTCAGCCCTCTTCCTTTTTAATGTCTGTTGCACTTGATGTTGTTAATCACTCTTTTCTTGAAGTACTCCCTTCCTTTCTTCTTTTGTAACATTCTGTTCTGATTTTCCCTCTCATTCTGCTTATGTTTTTAAAGATTCCTTTGGCTTTATTTCAAATGATGGTATCCTATTCCCTCTTCTAGTGCTACATATTCTCCTGAAAGGTCTCAGTCCCTGCCATAACTAGAATGAACAGGGAATAAAAATAATCAGTAATCTCCAGACATCGCTACATATATAGGATACATAGAGAAATGCAGAGAGCATATTTAACCCCCTATTCAACATTTCCTCCTAAATATCTTATAGACATCTAAAATCAATGTGTTTGAAGCTTTCCCTACTTCCAAATTCTGCTCCATTCTTCTATATCTGTTTCTCTTCCTATGGACTCTGGATTATTGAATCTAACAGGTGACACATGCCAGAGACCTGAGTGATACGCTTGTCTCTCATACATCCAGAAAACATTAAATCCTAATGACTTTTATCCTTTAAATATTGTGTTAATTTTGTCTGTTCTTCATCTTTGCTGCCACTACCCCAATTCAGGCCATAATCAATAACCTCACTGAAACTGGCATAACAGGTATTTCCCTTGCCTCAGTTCATTATCATAATGTTGCCAGAATGCACTTTCTAATATGAGAAGCTAATCATAGTATATCTTGGCTTAAGACCTTTCTGTGCTCCTTGTTGATCTTAACATAAGATCTAAGCTCCTTAACTTCTGACTATAAGGCCTTTAACAATCTGCCACTGCTGATTCACTTTAGCCTTCTCTCTTCTCATCCTCTCACTATTCTTCCTCATACTTTGTGTTTATCATTCTGAGCTTTTAATTCCATTCTCTCCTGTCTCTAGACCTTTGCTTATGTTCTTTCTTGCTGCCTTTTATTTTCCTCTTGTTTTTGAAGTCCCCAGTTAGACATCTCTTCCAGAAAGTTTTCCTTAACTACTGCTTTCCTTCCCTTTACCTACACTCAGTATTCCTTCTGTATACTTCTGTAGTAGTCTTTATTTACCTTATCATGGCACTTACTACACATTTTTTACATCAGGTAATCATGAAATTGCCTGATCGTGATTACTTATTTAATAGACTGTAAACTCTATAACCATGGGAGCCATGTAGGAGCATAATGAATAAATGAGTGATTTGAAAGCCTGGGTAAAGGCAATTAAATTATATTGGTAAGAAATAGATAGTCATGGAGTGTTTTGAGCAATTAAGAAATATTATGATGGATACACTGCAGAAATAAAGTAAAATTTGAAGTAATGGAAACTCCTCATTGCCCTAATCTAAACATGAGGTGATGTTTGTTACTATACTTTTAAGACTTTTGTCATAAATTTGCTATTTTACTTTTCTACTTCTGTATTTCAGTATGTATATTAGATTCTAAATGTTTAACGGGTTATGCTTAGACTGCTCTGATATGAAACACCATTTTTCTACATATTTCCTCATTTAATAGGTACCTCTTAAGAAAGCCAATTTCTATTTCTGTGCTATATACATGTGTAGGTGATGAAGGAGAGACAGAAAGTAGGATGATTCCCAGATTTTTATCCTGGGAAAGTTTAGAATTAGTACCATTAAGTGAAGTTAGAAAAGGAAAAGAATGAGCAAATATTGAGGTGAGGTAAATAATTCAGTTTAAACATAATGACTTTTAGGTACTAGTGAAAAACCCAAGGCATTCAACCTAATAGAAAGTTGGATTTTCTGGCATGAAATTTAGGCTAGAGAAAAAGATTTAGGATTTTTCAACATTATTTAACTGTTTTATTCAGTGTGTGTTTTAGTGTTGTCATAGACAAATGGCAGATTGCCCAGGTTTATACTTGTGGATCCGGAATGGAACTTTGGGAGATCTCTTAACTCCCTGAAATTACATGAAAATTTGTGTTTGGCTATGTGTATATATATATATATATTTGCAGTGAGTCAATATGCCACTGCACTCCAGCCTGCGTGAGAGTGAGACTCCGTCTGAAAAAAAAAAAAAAAGTTATTATGAGGATTAAATAAACCAATGCATGAGAAGTGCAGTGCAGTGTTTAGTATAGAGTTAGTGCTCAATAATATTAGCTATTTGCTGTTTTTTAACCACATGTTGAGTACCCTAGAATTGGTGAGTTCTCACATACCCACAGTGAGAAAAAGAAGACAAGGTCTTAAGTTTTCCCTTTCCCACAATTGGGGTCAGCCACCTCCTGGCAGGCCCAAAGAACTAGCACAGATACTTCCTCATATCTCCACCACCGTCACTGCTGTTACCAGGCAATAAAGTCAAGGACTGGAGAAAGCAGGAGTACAACATTTATGGTAAAAAGTGAGGCAAGTGAGGGGATACAACTCCAAGGGCATCAGTCGTAGACATTGAAGTTGCTTTCAAGAAGCAGAACTTGACATTCCTGTTTCCCAGCCAATTCCCTGCTAACCTCTAGAACCTGCAAGCCCATCAAATTAAATAGTGCAGGAAGAGAGTTATTGGGAAAGCCTGCTTTATATCTGCTGGATTTTGTCAACATTCTCAAACATTAAGACTATTACCTGTTTCTCATATAGGAAAAGGAGGGGGGCCTGCTAGAATAGATTGTGTAAACAAACACAGCTAGAAGAATAATGACAGTAATAGTATTTCCAAAGAGAGACTGAGGATGAATTAGTGGCCCCAAAAACACTAGATTCTACCTCTTTGAGGGGTTCTTCAGTGACATATAGGGCCAGAATGAAGTAAGGTACCACCCACAAACCACACTTAACATCTGCATGGAAACCACCTAATTTTAGAGGGTATAAGCAGCAGACTTAATACAACAGGTCAGAGTGAGGCTAGGGACATCTCTCTACCTGTGCCAGACAGGCAATTACAGAAACTGATCTCTGCCACTCTTCTTTTTCTTACTTTCCCAGTATAGGAGCTAGGACTTGAAGAAAAGACTTGTAGGAAGAGGTATCTTAGAACTTCCTTTTCTCACTGCTGCCCCCTCCACTTAACACCGCCTTACTAAGTATTTCAAGTCACAAGCCTTAGTGGAAAATGTTGTAATTGACTATTGACTAAGTTTTTAACTGGACAGTTCCAAGTTTTAATAACTGAAACTAGTGAGAATCATGGAAGCAGCTCCGGATATCATTAAAAGATGAGAAAAGGAAGATTTGGCTTGCATAGCTGAAAGTAGTGACTAGCAAAAAGTACATAAAATCATTTCATATGTACGTAACAAAAACTTGAGAGCTCTATATAAACTGTTTACGTACACAAAGAATGGCTAAAGAAACAGGAGAAAAGTTATAAAAACTGGGAAAAGGTGGGGAGGGAGTGTACAGTAGTTTCATGAAGAAAGTTGTCAATGGTAATAGTTCCCATAAATAAATAAGGTAAGGATTTACAAATATCCAACAAATTAGACAATTATAAAATAATTGGTGTTGGAGAGCAGTCTTGGTGGAGTGATGATACAGCTCATTTGGATTTTTGTATTAAGAAAAAAATGATATTCCTGTTGTTTCTATCCACTAGGCTTTGTTCCACCCCTTGGAGCCATAATGTACAAATGAAATTCCATTTCCGTTTTATAGTCCAACAGATATTTGAAGACAGCTATCTTATGTCTCTCGGGTCTCTTTCTTTAAGCTAAATATTTCCATTTCTCATTGTCACATACTTTCAGCTCCCTTCACCATCACTGTTTTTGAAGATGCTTTAGTTTGTGTAAGTCCCCAAACTGAATATATTATCATCAGGTTGGTTGACTACTGTGGAATAGAACAGGACAAGCATCTTTCTGAACCTAGAAATTAGACTGTTAATTCAGACCAAAATTACATTTGCTTTTTGGCAGTTCTGTCACATCATTATCATTTTTACTTGCCCAGTGTTATGGGGATTCACTAAATAGATTAATTAAATGCTTATTGTACAACCTCAAAATTTGTTTCACAAAATTGGTAATTTTCAGCTTGATGAGTTTAGTGTTTTTGCTAATCCCTAAGTAGGTGATCTCCCTATTAGTTTTTCCTGCCTCATATGATTCTTTGAAAAAACAGAAGTGATAACTATTATAGAATATATGTGTATATGTGTATAAAATGGTGTGTTTTCAAACTATAGTAGATGTGGATGATTTATAAGACAAGATCGATTTTTGTTTGTTGTTTTTTCCTCTAATTAATTCTACAAATATTAAGTATATGTATACTATGTGCCGGGCACTAGAGATACAATAATAGGATGCATTCTCTGCCATAATAATCTTTTAGCTTCATGGAGGAATTTCAGGAATGTTTATTAAATACTACTAGGGGTTAAGAGGGTGCTCCAGAGCACACTGATATCTTACCCAGCCTTGAGTAAAGCTTCTTAATAATGGTGCCACCTAATCTTGGTCTGGAAGGAGGTGAGCAAATTAGTTAGCCAGAGTTGTGAAGGAATTTATACAAGGGTCCTGAGGCAAGGAGCAATATGGGTGGTGCTAACAAGTAGTTTGCTATCCCTGGAATTTATGAAATATGGAAGGGGGAATGTATTGGGAAAGAAGGCAATACAACATTTAAAGAGGCTTATATGGCTTGCTTTTTGGGTGTTTTTCGACTGAGAGCAATGAAAAGCCATTTAAGTTTTTGAAACGGGAGTGACAAGATTAGATTTGCTCTTTAGAAAAATATACTCTTGAGTAATGTGGAGAATAGATTGGAGGGAGGAGTAAGGTTAGAGATACAGGGACCAATTGGGAGGCTGATAGTGAGAGGTAAGGATGAATTGAACTACATTATTGTCAGTAAAGATGGAAGGAAGTGGATGGATTTTAAAGATTTAGGAAGTTAAAGCCGTGATTATTTGTGGGGATAAAAAGGAAAGGGAAGAGCTGAGAATGAAAACCATAGTAGCTAACATTTATTGACCACTTAACTACGCACAAGGCACTGATTTAAGTATTTAAATCTTGCCACAGTCTTATGAGGTAGGTATAATTTTATTATTCCTATATCATAGTTGAAGAAACCTCAAGCCCAAAGGAAATGGTTACCAAATAACTTAACGAATTAGCATGTTACCACCAGAAGATGGGCAGCAAGGAAGAGGAAAAAATACAGTTTCCCATTTGGACATGTCATGAAATTCTGTTGGCACATTGAAGTAAAGATAAGATAACATAAAACATGTTTGCTAAGTACTATGTCTAGTTAACAATATGCAAATAAATAGCATGATGTCAATGCCTGGAGCTTAGCACGGAGAAAGCTGAGCTAGAGATAAAGAAAAGATCACTAAGGATAGTATGGGGAGCAAGAAAAAAGTCAGAACCCTCACTCATTTAAGAGATAGGTAGAAAAAGACAACTGTGACATCTAGTTTGTTTATTATCCTTCATTACTCATAAATCACTCAGTTTTTTTAATTATCTACGAGTACATATCCCTACTTTAAGTAGTACTGATCTGATATAGTTCATTCTCTTAGTTGAGTATTGTAATATGCATCCGTAACTTTATGAAAGTTTTAATTCTTCTAATTAAATAGTTTAGGTTTCTTTCTCTCATTACTAAAAAGTTGTTAAACAACAGTCATGTATATTTTATTTTTATTTTTTAATTTTTATGTTCTCAGGGTGTACAAGTACAGATTTCTTTTTTTTGTTGGTTTTTTTTTTTTTTTTTTGAAATGGAGTTTTGCTCTCGTTGCCCAGGCTGGAGTGCAATGGTGTGATCTCGGCTCATTGTAACCTCTGCCTTCCGGATTTAAGCAATTCTCCTGCCTCAGCCTCCCAAGTAGCTGAGATTACAGGCGTGCACCACCACGCCTGGCTAATTTTGTATTTTTTTAGTAGAGACAGGGTTTCATCATGTTGGTGGTCAGGATGGTCTCAAACTCCTGATCTCAGGTGATCCACCCGCCTTGGCCTCCCAAAGTGCTGGGATTACAGGCATGAGCCACTGTGCCCGGCCACAAGTACAGATTTTTTACATGCATATATTGCACAGTGGTGAAGTCTGGCTTCTTCATGTTATCACCCAAATGGTGAGCATTGTACCCAATAGGTAGTTTTTAAACCTTTACCCCCTTACCACTCTTCCACCTTTTGTAGTCTCCACTGTCTGTTATTCCACTCTGTATGTCCATGTAGCTGTTGTCATTTATAAGTAAAAACGTGTGGTATTTGGTTTTCTGTTTCTGAGTTATTTCATTTAGGATAATGGCCTCCAGTTTCATCCGTGTTGCTGCAAAAGCCATCTCATTCTTTTTTTTTTTTTTTTTTTTTTTTTTTGTGACAGAGTCTCGCTCTTTCGCCCAGGCCAGACTGCAGTGGCGCTATCTCGGCTCACTGCAAGCTCCGCCTCCCGAGTTAACGCCATTCTCCTGCCTCAGCCTGCCAAGTAGCTGGGACTACATGCGCCGGCCATCAAGCCCGGCTAATTTTTTTTTTCTTTTTGTATTTTTTAGTAGAGACGGGGTTTCACCGTGTTAGCCAGGATGGTCTCGATCTCCTGACCTCGTGATCCGCCCGCCTTGGCCTCCCAAAGTGCTGGGATTACAGGCATGAGCCACCGCGCCCGGCCTGAAAAGTTTTAAGTAGGGAAATGAGATCATCAGGTTTGCATTTTGAAAATGTTACTACTAAATTGAAGGAGGAGGATTAGGGTGAATGCAAAGAAATAAGAGACAGTTACAGTCATTTAGGTAAGAGTTTTTTTTGTTTTTGTTTTGTTTTGTTTTGTTTTGTTTGAGACGGAGTCTCACTCTGTCGCCCAGGCTGGAGTGCAGTGGAGCGATCTCGGCTCACTGCAAGCTCCTCCTCCCGGGTTCACGCCATTCTCCTGGCACAGCCTCCCGAGTAGCTGGGACTACAGGCTCCCGCCACCACGCCCAGCTAATGTTTTTGTATTTTTTACTAGAGACGGGTTTCACCATGTTAGCCAGGATGGTCTCGATCTCCTGACCTCGTGATCCGCCCGCCTCGGCCTCCCAAAGTGCTGAGATTACAGGCGTGAGCCACGGTACCCGGCCAGTTAAGAGTTGTTAGTAGTATGACTCGTGGAATGACATTAGCATGGAGGAAGTAATCAAATCCCACAAATACTTTGATACTTTGCTAATACGTTTCACTGGATTATAAGGATGGGGAGAGAGGTGGATTGGTGTGTGTGTGTGTGTGTGTGTGTGTATGAGAGCGAGAGAGAGAGAAAGAGGAGATATTGGGGATAAATTCTGGCTTTCTGAAAACTGAAAGAGGGCCACATTTGGTGCAAGAAAATGAGTTACTGGGTTTCATCTTGGGCATGTTGGACCTGAAGCATCCTTATTCTTCTATATTTAGTACCAATAAAACCCTAAAAGCTGCATGAAAAGTCCATGGTAAGGGGGTATAGCTATGTAATGTATGTATGGTTCATAAGTTTTCTAGAATATTATTCAGCCTTAAACATGTTAGCTACAAGACTATAAAGCATGTTAGATTAAGTGAAAAAAGTAGGATACCAAATCCAGTAATCACTGAAAACATAGAAAAAGTACTGAAAGGAAATAGAGCAAACTTTAAGCAAGGATTATTTGAGGACTGTGGGTGAATTTTTTAAAATTTAAATTTTCCATTTTGTAAAAATATCAATCTTAGAAATTAAAAATTTTAATGTCAGGTTTGTTTCTTATATCGATTTATAATGACCATGGTTTAAATGTTTGCTTCTCTAAACTGACTTAATAGTAATTACTTCAGGTAAAATCAATTATTTTTTAAACATGACTTTCTAGTTAGTTCCAAAGTTGAGTGAAGGTGAATTCTTAGTTATACAAAGTAAGCAATTTTTCCAGTGTTACAGCTGTATTAATCAGTAGTCAGTGCTGATCATCTCTCCCATAGTTGTCTCTGCTAGCTTTTCCATCTGTCAGCTGTAAGCAATGCAGAAGCATTGAAAACATTTTCCTTTGCCGTAACACACTAAAATTCTCATAAAATGTCCCTAAATCATTAAGTACATTTTGTGAGTGACAAATAATGTTAAAGAACTAGCTATGTGTTTTAATATATAAAATTAGACTTTGTGTAAATTGACCATACTTTTAATCATGGATTTTCTCTAAGATAATGTGCTAAGAAGGTATCTAAACAACTCACCACCTGATATTTTGGTCATACTTTAGGGAATTGTTTTAATAAATAAATGTTATTGAATTTTAATTTATATACAATAAAATGCACCCATTTGTTTATTTATTTTATTGAATTATTTTTGAGCCAGGTTCTCGTTCTGTTCCCCAGGCTGGAGCGCAGTGGTACAATCATGGCTCACTGCATCCTGGAGCTCTTGGGGCCAAGGGATCCTCCCACCTCAGCCTCCCAAGTAGCTAGGACTACCAGTGCACACCACCACACCCAGCTAATTTTTTATTATTTTTTGTAGAGCTGAGGTATCACTGTATTGCTCAGGCTTGTCTCAAACTCCTCGCCTCAAAGTGACCCTGCCATCTTGGCCTCCCAAAGCATGAGGATTACAGAAGCGAGTGACTGTGCCAAGCACATTTACTTATTTTAGTGACTTTTTACGACTGTATATACTCATGCAGCCACCACCACAATCAAGATATAAAACACTTCTGTCACCATAAAGTGTTTCCTGGTGCTCAGTTTCCTGGCCCCAAGCACCTAACCTCTCCTTTCTGTCATTAGAGATTAATTTTGCTTTCTATAGAATATCGTGTAACTGCAGTTTTGCCATATGTGCTTTTTTTGTATCTGGCTTTTTTCCACTTAGCATAATGTTTTTTGAGATTTACCCATGTTGTTGCATGTATAGTCAGGCCTCTGTATTAGCATGTACCACATCCTTGGATACAGAGGGCAAAATGTAAGGTACTAAGCATCCTTGGATTTTGGTATTCATGGAGTATCCTAGATATCCAATCCTGGATGTCCTTGGTACCCAGTCCCCTGTGGATACCAAGAAACTACTGCAAATTAGTAGTTTATTTCTTTTTATTGCTGAGTAGTAATCCATTTAGGAATATATCATTTGTTTTCTCCCTTCAGCAAGTAGTTGATGGACATTTTATTTGTTTTCAGTTTTTGGCTATTAAAAAAAAAAGCTGTCATAAACCTTCTGTATAAATCTATGCAGACATATATTTTCAACTCTCATGGGTAAGTACCCAAGAGTAGAATTCCTGGATCGTATAATAAGTGTTTGTTTAACTTTTTTGGAAACTGCCAAACTGTTTTTGTTTTGTTTTGTTCTGATTTGTTTGAGACGGCGTCTTGCTCTGTCACCCAGGCTGGAGTGCAGTGGCGTAATCTCGGCTCACTGCAACCTCCACTTCCCAGGTTCAAGCAATTCTCCTGCCTCAGCCTCCTGAGTAGCTGGGATTATACGCATGTGCAAGCATTCCCAGGTAATTTTTGTGTTTTTAGTAAAGGCGGGATTTCGCTATGTTGGCCAGGCTAGTCTCCAACTCCTGACCTCAAGCAATCCACTTGCCTCGGCCTCTCAAAGCATGGGGATTACAGACATGAGCCACCGCATCTGGTCTGCCAAACTGTTTTCTAATGTAGTTATAGTGTTTTGCATTGCAACTAACAATGTTGGAGCATTTTATTTGCTCCACATACTTGTCAGTTGAACATCTTTTAATATGTTTTTTGGCCATTCATGTATCTTTTTTTGTAAAGCATGTGTTCACATCTTTTGCTCATTTTTATGTTGCCCAGTTTGTGTTCTTACTGCATTATGAAAGTTGCTAAAATATATTCTGGATACCAGTCCTCTACTATGTATATGTATTGCAAATATCTTCTATCTGTAGTTTGCCTGTTTTAAATCTTCCTATTAGCTGTCTTTTCAAAGGTAAATTGTAAACATTTTTATGAAGTTTAATTTATTCATTTTTTTCTCCAGTTCATGCTTTCATGTCCTAAGAAACATTTGCCTACTCCAAGGTTGCAAAGAAGGCATTTTCTTCTAATAGTTTTAATTATTTCAGCTTTTTTGTTTAACTCTGTGATCCATTTCAAGCTAATATTTAGTACTAGTACAAGAGGTAAGATGGAGGTTTTTGCTGTTTTTTGATTGAGTGTACTATGAGGCAAGATTGAAGTTTTTATCGCTTTTTGTTGTTTAAATATGGATATTCAGTTATTGCAGGACCATTTGTTACAAAAAAAATTATTTCTCCACCTTTGTCAAAAACCGATTGTATGGATTTATTTCTGGACTCTATTCTTTTCCACTGATATATATTTCTGTCCTTTTGCTAATTCCACATTACCTTGATTGCTGTAGCTTATAGTAAGTCTTGAAATAAAATGATAAGTTTTCCAACTGTGTTCTTTGTTCAGATTTCTTTGACTGTTGTATTAGTCCCTTCTCGCACTGCTCTAAAGAAATAATTGAGACTGGGTAATTTGTAAAGAAAATAGGTTTAATTGGCTCATGGTTCTGCAGGCCATACAGGAAGCATGGCTAGGTTAGAAAACTTAAAAGTCATGGCCAAAGGCAAAGGGGAGGCAGGCACATCTCACATGGCAGGAGCAGGAGGAAGAGAAAGAGTGGGGAGGTGCTACACACTTTTAAACAACCAGATCTCATGATAACTCACTATCATGAGAACGGCACCAAAGGGGAAATCCACCACCATGAACCAATCACCTCCCACCAGGCCCACCTCCAACACCGGGGACTACAATTTGACATGAGATTTGGGCAGGGACACAGACCCAAACCATATCACCTGTATTCTATGACCTTGGATTTCTTTGTAAATTTTAGAATTACCTTGTCAGTTTCTCCAAAAAGCTTACTGGAATTTTTATTGGGATTCCATTAAATCTACAGATCAGTTTGAAGATTTGAGTCTTCTATCCCATGAACATGATATATCTCTCCATTTATTTAGGTCTTCTATACTCTCAGAATGTTTTGTACTTTTCACTGTAGAACTAATTCATACACATATTTCGTTAAATTTATCCAAAATATTTAATTGCAGGTGGGATTTCTAAAATTTCAGTTCCTATTTTTGTTACTATTATGTAGAAGTACAATCAATATATTAGTGTAGTATAATTAGTATAGTATTAGTATAGTATAATTCTTTAAATACTTAAAGCCAAATCCAGTAATATGATATATATTACTATATAAAATATATTAATGCAATATAATTATAGAATTACAATTCTATATATTACAGTAATGACAATATAATTATAATTACTCTATTATATTGCATTACTATATAATAGTTATATAACTACAATATAATTATATTGTATTATGTATTATATACTTATATGATTATAATATATATAATTATTATAATTTTGTTTTAAATGCCATAAAACCAAAGCCAGTAACATTACACAGCTAAGACCTTCCATACGATATTGATTAGAAGTGATGAAAGTGAATATACCTCCATTTTTCCCGATCTCAGAAGAAAAGCATTGCATCTTATCATGTATGATGATACCTATAGGTTTTTTGTAGATCCCATGTGTCAAGTTGAAGATGTAATATTACTGGATTTGGTTTTACAGTATTTAAAACCAAATTATATTAATTATATCTAATATAAATGTATATTCTATTACCATATTTGGTTTTATGATATTTAAAGAATTATTTTCATATATTTTCACGAGGCATAGTCTGTAGCTTTCTGTTTCTGTTGTATCTTGTTCTATTTTGGTATTGGGGTAACACTGGCCTCATAAAATGAGTTTAGAAGTGTTTCATCCTTTCCTCTTTTCTGAAAAGAGTACATGTGGGATTGGTATTATGACCTCCTAAAATTTGATAATGATGTGTAGTTTTGTAAAACTCTTTGATTTTGATGTTAGAGTAATGATGGGCCTATAAAGTGGGAATTGTTTCCTTTTCCTTTTTGCTGAGTTTAAGTATTGGTATTATTTTTTCCTTCAAATATTTAAATTTACTAGTGAAGTTCCCTATACCTGAAGTGTGTATGTATGTGCAGGGGGTAATTTTGTGGATATCAAAGTGATGTAGTAGTTGGAGAATGATGTCTGGAACCAGAAAGTCTATTAAAAGTACCTAGTTCTGGCCGGGCGCGGTGGCTTACGCCTGTAATCCCAGCACTTTGAGAGGCCAAGGCGGGCAGATCACGAGGTCAGGAGATCGAGACCATCCTGGCTAACACAGTGAAACCCTGTGTCTACTAAAAATACAGAAAAATTAGCCGGGCCTGGTGGCAGGCGCCTGCTACTCGGGAGGCTGAGGCAGGAGAATGGCGTGAACCCAGGCAGAGCTTGCAGTGAGCCGAGATTGCGCCACTGCACCTCCAGCCTGGGCGACAGAACGAGACTCCGTCTCAAAAAAAAAGTGCCTAGTTCTCATTGACTCTCTTTACAAGTCTCTTAGCCTATCTATCTATGCCTCAGGAATACGCAGTTTTTGTTCCACCTCATATACTTGTTTTAAGGAAAAAAAATATAAAAACATATGAGTGTGCTTGCTGTTTGATAGCCATTTGATTCTTTTCTTGCTATATGTTTCTAACTGCAACTTTTCCTTTTTACAGAGGAGGATAAATATAATATTTACTCACCTTTGCTCTTCAAGTATTTCCTGGCAGAAGGAATTGTCAATGGGCATACTTTGTTGGTTGCATCTGCTAAAGAGGATCCTGCCAACATTTTACAGGTATAGAATATATGAACTTAATATTGCATTTTGAATGTTTCATGAAAAAATATTGTTTATATATGTAAACAAGATATATGTTTGTATATATACAAACTATATTTAAATGCATTAACGGAACCATACATTTTTTAAAATCTCAGTAAAAAGTATCAAATTTATTTGAACATAGGATTACATTTTAAACTAATGTTTTTGAACAAATTTTTTAAAGTTCATATGAGAGTTGGGGAAATATTAAGCTACTAAAAACTGACACTAAATAAAATTACTAGACCAGGCATTCACAAAAGTCATGCTTAATAGCAAAAAATTCTAGTTTACACTTCTTATTGAAGAAAGGGGAAAAACATCCTTTAATTTTTTGCTTCTAATTATAACATCTTCATTTTGACTACTATGGCAAAGCAAATTTTCCAAAGTCTAAGCTTTTCTATACTACTAACAAAGTATCACTTAACTGTTACTCTTAAGAAGTCCTTAAAAGAAACTTGAAATTTGAATTTTCAGCCTGAAACTGTTAGATAAAGTATATGAGTTACAGCAAATAATGGAATAAAAACAAAAGGGACATCTATATAATCAGCAAATTGGCTGATAAGAATTTTAAATATTTTACATTTCTACTTAGCACAAGCAAAAATAAACTGATTCCAAGGCACTACAGTATTTGCCATTTTTACTGCAAGCTTTAGGCAATTTTTTTTCTTTTAATTTTGAAGAGATGAGGTCTCACTATGTTGCCAGACTGGTCTTGAATTCCTGGTCTCAAGGGATTCTCCCACCTGGGCCTCCCAAAGTTCTGGGATTACAGGCATCAGCCACCGCATCCAGCCTACTGCAAGCTTTAATCATAATTTCATTCTAAATGTATCTAAGGAAATTAAAATGTTCATACATATAAAAATTATTATATCTGATAGGTAATATTCTACACAGTCATGATAATAAGAGAATTCTGGAAAACATTAGATAAAGAAAACAACTGTAGATTGTTTGGTAATTATATTACCAGTATGCCAGAGGTATAAATCAGAAGAATCAGAAATTAGAAGTACTCATTGATTAATATTAGTTTTCTTGGAGAATGCCACAAATGATTCTCTTCTATGATAAAATATGTCATTGATGTACTGAATCTTTAAGCCAAAGCACACTTTTTCCCTCAGAGAGGACACTTTTAACTTTTAGAATTCTTAGTTTCTTTGTCCATAACAGAATCCTAATTTAAGACATTATTTGAATAGAGTTCATAATCTAAAGTCATTTTTCCATAGGATATTTTAATTTTAGTACATAGTTTGCAAAATGGCAAATTAGTCATTTATAAGGAATTTGTAACATAATAAATACTAATTCATAATACCTGTGAACAAATGCCAACAAACTTCTTTGCCTTAGTATAAAAGTCACTATAATGCTGAGGTCAAAACTAAAATAATTCGTTCATATGATTCAGACTTTGCTTGTTAAATAATATTGTTATGAAATCCAAAGCAGAAACCTGTATTTGATTGATTTTCCTCTGGTTGTAGGGCTTATTTTTTTCTCAATCTCTTTTGTAGTTGTTTACTTTTTACAATATTTCTTGGTGTTTTCTTTTGCTCTGTTTTCTGGCTTTTATCATCTTGGCCAACTTCTGGACAGTGCTACACTTGCTAGGAGCAGTGGAGTAAAGGCCAAAACCATTGTTGTAAGTAAGCTACACAGGTTCTTCATGACATATTCCACAATATACCGAGACTAAGATTTTATATCAAACATCTATATAGCCATCATAGGAAAATTTTGCCAGCCAGAAGCAGAAATGCCTGTATATGCTTTTGAAAATAAAGTTTTTTATTTTTATTTTTTCCTCTTTCAACCCAGGTAGCTGATGTTAAAAATTTGCACAGTTTGCTTTAGAGAACACATTAATTTCAAAACTAATCCCTGACATCTTTCTTAGGGGTGCCTTGAATTTGTACAAGTAAGTATTAAAAATCTTAGTGTACTTTACATATCCTTCTTTAGATTATGTGAAGGAGTTTGAAGCTATAAAAGAAATATTACCTTTTTCATCAAGCTTTTATAAAATAGCCAGTCATTTATGCAAGTAATTGGGTGTTGCAAAGACTTAGTCATACAATAATTTTATGATGTAGGAGAGTAAAATATAAAATATAAAACTACAGTTAAAAGCAAAACAGACTCTTAAAAAATACACCGTGTCTGACCAAGCTGCACATGTCTGACCAAGATAGATTAACAAGGTCCAGATTTCTCCTCATGCCTGAAATAGCTAAAAAACAAAAAACAAACATAAAAAGCAGCACAGGGTATAGGAAACAACAGTTTTCGAAACACTTGGCATCAGATAATAAAAGTGATACCTGAGATATACAAAACAAAGAAGGCAAACCCTGTCATTTCCCTACCTTACTGAGTACAGTGTTTCCAAGCCACAGTGCAAAGAAGAGAAATACAAGATAAGGTGACCTTCAGGAGACACAGCTAGGATCACAAGGAGGTCAAGGAAATTCTATTTATAAATCAGAGTACCTGAAAGGGAAGAGGTATGCATCGAGTGAGTTAGAGATCTGCATAGGGTCGGTCTCCCTCTAGTCTTCAGATGAGTGCTCACCTGTACTTGTACACGAGGAGATGGCCTGAGGCTAGAGAAAGAACTACCTGACAATATTAGAAGTAACAATCCCCAGGGCCAACAGTAATTCCTGCTCCCACATGCCAGAGTGAAAAACTTCATAATTCATGAGGCATCAGGTGGAGTATTTAGAAGAGTTTTGCATTGGTAAAGAGCAAAATTATTCCCACATTATAAAACACTGCTGTGGTCCTGTCTAATGAGGCTTAAAAACAAGGCCTGAAGTAACCAACTGTTTTCAAGTACCTTAACTGTGTCCCAGTCCAAAGCTCAAAGTATAGTAATATTCAAGTGTCCAGCACCCAACAGAATAAAATATTCTGTGTCTGGTTTCCAGTTAAAACATAATAGACATGCAAAGAAATAAGAAAGTACAATTTATAATAAGGAGAAAAATCAATTAAAACAAAAAAGAAATGACATGATAGAATTAGATGAAAACATAAGTTTTATTACAAGTATATTATAAATATTCAGTAAGCTAGAAGGAAGATTAAACATGTTAAATGGAAACATGGAAGATGTAAATATAAACACAAGTTAAACTTTTAGAGATGAAAATACAGTGACTGCAATGAAAAATACACTTGAGGTGCAAAGTGGATTAGACACTGAAAAAGAAAAGATTAGTAAATTTGAAGACATGGCATTTAAAATTATACAAGATGAAACCTGGAAAATAGACTGGGGAAAAAAAAGATTTTTGCATTAGTGAGCTGTAAGATAACTTAAGGGTCCCTAACATGTGATTGGACTCTGTGAAGGGAGAAGGAGTAGTACACAACAAATATTTGAAGAAATAAGGAATGAAAGTATTACAGAAATAATGAAAAATATGCCACGATTCTGAGGTGTTTGGCAAACTCCAAGTTTTGTTGTTGTTGTTGTTTGTTTTTTGTTTTTTGTTTTTGGGACGGAGTCTCACTGTGTCACCCAGGCTGGAGTGTAGTGGTGTGATCTTGGCCCACTGCAAGCTCCGCCTCCCGGGTTCATGCCATTCTCCTGCCTCAGCCTCCCAAGTAGCGGGGACTACAGGCACCCACCACCATGTCCGGCTAATTTTTTGTATTTTTAGTAGAGACGGGGTTTCACCGTGTTAGCCAGGATGGTCTTGATCTCCTGACCTCATGATCTGCCCACCTCGGCCTCCCAACGTGCTGGGCAAACTCCAAGTTTTAAAAGTCCTGAAGAAAACAACATCAATGCACATCATAATCAAATTTCTTGAAGCAAGTGATAAAGACAAAATCTTGAAAGTGACCAGAGATAAAAGCACATTACATAGATAGGACCAAAGATAAGAATGACAGCCAACTTTTAGGCAATACAAACCAGAAAACAAGGAGGAAGTCTTTAAAATGCTAAAAGAAAAACACGTTATCAATTCAGAATTCTATACTCAGCAAATATCTTTCATAAACAAAGATTTTACAATTTAAAAAGGTGGTTTTTTATGAAAACAAAATAAAGACTTTCTCAAATGCTAAAATCAAAAAGAATTCACAACCACCAGACTTGCATTGTAAGAAATACTAAAGTTTTTCACAAAAAAATCAAAATAATGCCAAATGTGGAAAAAGATCGGGGAGGAGCCAAGATGGCCGAATAGGAACAGCTCCGGTCTACAGCTCCCAGCGTGAGCGACGCAGAAGACGGGTGATTTCTGCATTTCCATCTGAGGTACCAGGTTCATCTCACTAGGGAGTGCCAGACAGTGGGCGCAGGTCAGTGGGTGCAGTGCACCATGCGCAAGCCGAAGCAGGGCGAGGCATTGCCTCACTCGGGAAGCGCAAAGGGTCAGGGAGTTCCCTTTCCTAGTCAAAGAAAGGGGTGACAGACGGCACCTGGAAAATCGGGTCACTCCCACCTGAATACTGCACTTTTCAGATGGGTTTAAAAAACGGCGCATCAGGAGTTTATATCCTGCACCTGGCTCGGAGGGTCCTACGCCCATGGAGTCTCCCTGATTGCTAGCACAGCAGTCTGAGATCAAACTGCAAGGCGGCAGTGAGGCTGGGGGAGGGGTGCCCGCCATTGCCCAGGTTTGCTTAGGTAAACAAAGCAGCCGGAAAGCTCCAACTGGGTGGAGACCACCACAGCTCAAGGAGGCCTGCCTGCCTCTGTAGGCTCCACCTCTCGGGGCAGGGCACAGACAAACAAAAAGACAGCAGTAACCTCTGCAGACTTAAATGTCCCTGTCTGACAGCTTTGAAGAGAGCAGAGGTTCTCCCAGCGCGCAGCTGGAGATCTGAGGATGGGCAGACTGCCTCCTCAAGTGGGTCTCTGACCCCTGACCCCTGAGCAGCCTAACTGGGAGGCACCCCCCAGTAGGGGCAGACTGACACCTCACACGGCCGGGTACTCCTCTGAGACAAAACTTCCAGAGGAACGATCAGACAGCAGCATTCGCGGTTCACGAAAAACCACTGTTCTGCAGCCACTGCTGCTAATACCCAGGCAAACAGGGTCTGGAGTGGACCTCTAGCAAACTCCAACAGACATGCAGCTGAGGGTCCTGTCTGTTAGAAGGAAAACTAACAAACAGAAAGGACATCCACACCAAAAACCCATCTTTACATCACAATCATCAAAGACCAAAAGTAGATGAAACCACAAAGATGGGAAAAAAACAGAGGAGAAAAAGCAGAGCACCTCTCCTCCTCAAAAGGATTGCAGTTCCTCACCAGCAATGGAACAAAGTTGGACAGAGAATGACTTTGACGAGTTGAGAGAAGAAGGCTTCAGACGATCAAACTACGAGCTACAGGAGGAAATTCAAACCAAAGGCAAAGAAGTTAAAAACTTTGAAAAAAATTGAGACGAATGTATAACTAGAATAACCAATACAGAGAACTGCTTAAAGGAGCTGATGGAGCTGAAAGCCAAGGCTCGAGAACTATGTGAAGAATGCAGAAGCCTCAGTAGCCGATGCGATCAACTGGAAGAAAGGGTATCAGCGATGGAAGATGAAATGAATAAAATGAAGCGAGAAGGGAAGTTTAGAGAAAAAAGAATAAAAAGAAACAAACAAAGCCTCCAAGAAATATGGGACTATGTGAAAAGACCAAATCTACGTCTGATTGGTGTACCTGAAAGTGATGGGGAGAATGGAACCAAGTTGGAAAACACTCTGCAGGATATTATCCTGGAGAACTTCCCCAGTATAGCAAGGCAGGCCAACATTCAGATTCAGGAAATACAGAGAATGCCACAAAGATACTCCTCGAGAGGAGCAACTGCAAGACACGTAATTGTCAGATTCATCAAAGTTGAAATGAAGGAAAAAATGTTAAGGGCAGCCAGAGAGAAAGGTCGGGTTACCCACAAAGGGAAGCCCATCAGAGTAACAGCGGATCTCTCTGCAGAAACTCTACAAGCCAGAAGAGAGTGGGGGCCAATATTGAACATTCTTAAAGAAAAGAATATTCAACCCAGAATTTCATATCCAGCCAAATGAAGCTTCATAAGTGAAGGAGAAATAAAATCCTTTACAGACAAGCAAATGCTGAGGGATTTTGTCACCACCAGGCCTGCCCTAAAAGAGCTGCTGAAGGAAGCACTAAACATGGAAAGGAACAACCGGTACCAGCTGCTGCAAAATCATGCCAAAATGTAAAGACCATCGAGACTAGGAAGAAACTGCATCAACTAACGAGCAAAATAACCAGCTAACATTATAATGACAGGTTCAAATTCACACATAACAATATTAACTTTAAATGTAAATGGACTAAATGCTCCAATTAAAAGACACAGACTGGCAAATTGGATAAAGAGTCAAGACCCATCAGTGTGCTGTATTCAGGAAACCCATCTCACATGCAGAGACACACATAGGCTCAAAATAAAAGGATGGAGGAAGATCTACCAAGCAAATGGAAAACAAAAAAAGGCAGGGGTTGCAATCCGAGTCTCTGATAAAACAGACTTTAAACCAACAAAGATCAAAAGGAACAAAGAAGGCCATTATATAATGGTAAAGGGATCAATTCAACAAGAAGAGCTAACTATCCTAAATATATATGCACCCAATACAGGAGCACCCAGATTCATAAAGCAAGTCCTTAGTGACCTACAAAGAGACTTAGACTCCCACACATTAATAGTGGGAGATTTTAACACCCCACTGTCAACATTAGACAGATCAACGAGACAGAAAGTCAACAAAGATACCCAGGAATTGAATTCAGCTCTGCACCAAGCAGACCTAATAGACATCTACAGAACTCTCCACCCCAAATCAACAGAATATACATTTTTTTCAGCACCACACCACACCTATTCCAAAATTGACCACATAGTTGGAAGTAAAGCTCTCCTCAGCAAATGTAAAAGAACAGAAATTATAACAAACTGTCTCTCAGACCACAGTGCAATCAAACTAGAACTCAGGATTAAGAAACTCACTCAAAACCGCTCAACTGTATGGAAACTGAACAACCTGCTCCTGAATGACTACTGGGTACATAACAAAATGAAGGCAGAAATAAAGATGTTCTTTGAAACCAACGAGAACAAAGACACAACGTACCAGAATCTCTGGGACACATTCAAAGCAGTGTGTAGAGGGAAATTTATAGCACTAAATGCCCACAAGAGAAAGCAGGAAAGATCCAAAATTGACACCCTAACATCACAATTAAAAGAACTAGAGAACCAAGAGCAAACACATTGAAAAGCTAGCAGAAGGCAAGAAATAACTAAAATCAGAGCAGAACTGGAGGAAATAGAGATACAAAAAGCCCTTCAAAAAATTAGTGAATCCAGGAGCTTGTTTTTTGAAAGGATCAACAAAATTGATAGACTGCTAGCAAGACTAATAAAGAAAAAAAGAGAGAAGAATCAAATAGACGCAATAAAAAATGATAAAGGGGATATCACCACCGATCCCACAGAAATACAAACTACCATCAGAGAATACTACAAACACCTCTACGCAAATAAACTAGAAAATCTAGAAGAAATGGGTAAATTCCTTGACACATACACTCTCCCAAGACTAAACCAGGAGGAAGTTGAATCTCTGAATAGACCAACAACAGGAGCTGAAATTGTGGCAATAATCAATAGCTTACCAACCAAAAAGAGTGCAGGACCAGATGGATTCACAGCCGAATTCTACCAGAGGTACAAGGAGGAACTGGTACCATTCCTTCTGAAACTGTTCCAATCAATAGAAAAAGAGGGAATGTTCCCTAACTCATTTTATGAGGCCAGCATCATCCTGATACCAAAGCCGGGCAGAGACACAACCAAAAAAGAGAATTTTAGACCAATATCCTTGTTGAACATTCATGCAAAAATCCTCAATAAAATACTGGCAAACCGAATCCAGCAGCACATCAAAAAGCTTATCCACCACGATCAAGTGGACTTCATCCCTGGGATGCAAGGCTGGTTCAATATATACAAATCAATAAATGTAATCCAGCATATAAACAGAACCAAAGACAAAAACCACATGATTATCTCAATAGATGCAGAAAAGGCCTTTGACAAAATTCAACAACCCTTCATGCTAAAAACTCTCAATAAATTAGGTATTGATGGGACATATCTCAAAATAATAAGAGCTATCTATGACAAACACACAGCCAATATCATACTGAATGGGCAAAAACTGGAAGCATTCCCTTTGAAAACGGGCACAAGACAGGGATGCCCTCTCTCACCACTCCTATTCAACATAGTGTTGGAAGTTCTGGCCAGGGCAATTAGGCAGGAGAAGGAAATAAGGGTATTCAATTAGGAAAAGAGGAAGTCAAATTGTCCCTGTTTACAGATGACGTGATTGTATATCTAGAAAATCCCATTGTCTCAGCCCAAAATCTCCTTAGCGGATAAGCAACTTCAGCAAAGTCTCAGGATACAAAATCAATGTACAAAAATCACAAGCATTCTTATACACCAATAACAGACAAACAGAGAGCCAAATCATGAGTGAACTCCCATTCACAATTGCTTCAAAGAGAATAAAATACCTAGGAATCCAACTTACAAGGGATGTGAAGGACCTCTTCAAGGAGAACTACAAACCACTGCTCAATGAAATAAAAGAGGATACAAACAAATGGAAGAATATTCCATGCTCATGGGTAGGAAGAATCAATATCGTGAAAATGGCCATACTGCCCAAGGTAATTTATAGATTCAGTGCCATCCCTATCAAGCTACCAATGACTTTCTTCACAGAATTGGAAAAAACTACTTTAAAGTTCATATGGAACCAAAAAAGAGCCCGCATGGCCAAGTCAATCCTAAGCCAAAAGAACAAAGCTGGAGGCATCATGCTACCTGACTTCAAACTATACTACAAGGCTACAGTAACCAAAACAGCATGGTACTGGTACCAAAACAGAGATATAGATCAATGGAACAGAACAGAGCCCTCAGAAAAAATGCTGCATATCTACAAATATCTGATCTTTGACAAACCTGAGAAAAGCAAGCAATGGGGAAAGGATTTCCTATTTAATAAATGGTGCTGGGAAAACTGGCTAGCCATATGTAGAAAGCTGAAACTGGACCCCTTCCTTACACCTTATACAAAAATCAATTCAAGATGGATTAAAGACTTAAACGTTAGACCTAAAACCATAAAAACCCTAGAAGAAAACGTAGGCAATACCATTCAGGACATAGGCATGGGCAAGGACTTCATGTCTAAAACACCAAAAGCAATGGCAACAAAAGCCAAAATTGACAAATGGGATCTAATTAAACTAAAGAGCTTCTGCACAGCAAAAGAAACTACCATCAGAGTGAACAGGCAACCCACAAAATGGGAGAAAATTTTCGCAACCTACTCATCTGACAAAGGGCTAATATCCAGAATCTACAATGAACTCAAACAAATTTACAAGAAAAAAACAAATAACCCCATCAATAAGTGGGCGAAGGACATGAACAGACACTTCTCAAAAGAAGACATTTATGCACCCAAAAAACCCATGAAAAAATGCTCACCATCACTGGCCATCAGAGAAATGCATATCAAAACCACAATGAGATATCATCTCACACCAGTTAGAATGGCAATCATTAAAAAGTCAGGAAACAACAGGTGCTGGAGAGGATGTGGAGAAATAGGAACACTTTTACACTGTTGGTGGGACTGTAAACTAGTTCAACCATTGTGGAAGTCAGTGTGGTGATTCCTCAGGGATCTAGAACTAGAAATACCATTTGACCCAGCCATCCCATTACTGGGTATATACCCAAAGGACTATAAATCATGCTGCTATAAAGACACATGTACACGTATGTTTATTGCGGCACTATTCACAATAGCAAAGACTTGGTACCTACCCAAATGTCCAACAATTATAGACTGGATTAAGAAAATGTGGCACATATACACCATGGAATACTATGCAGCCACAAAAAATGATGAGTTCATGTCCTTTGTAGGGACATGGATGAAATTGGAAATCATCATTCTCAGTAATCTATCGCAAGAACAAAAACCAAACACCACACTTTATCACTCATAGGTGGGAATTGAACAATGAGAACACATGGACACAGGAAGGGGAACATCACACTCTGGGGACTGTTGTGAGGTGGGGTAGGGGGGAGGGATAGCATTGGGAGATATACCTAATGCTAGATGACGAGTTAGTGGGTGCAGCGCACCAGCATGTCACATGTATACATATGTAACCTGCACATTGTGCACATGTACCCTAAAACTTAAAGTATAATAATAAAAAAAAAATAAAAAATAATGCCAAATGAATATTTGGATCTAAACAAAGATATCAGAAGGACTGGAAATAAGTAAATATATAATACTTTTATTTAAGTGAGTATAAAATACTTTTTTTCTCATTTTGTAAAAATAAAGTCATTAATGGTGAGAAAGAGAATAGAGGAAAAATGCAGAATTTGGCGCATGATGGATATATTTTTTGTCTTGATTGTATTAATGGTTTCCAAAGTATATATGAAGGGACTTCAAAAAGTTTGTGGAAAAATGGAATTAAAACATAAAACCATAAACATTATTTCAAAACATAAGCTCCATCAAGTTCAAGACACTTTTGTGAGTGATGATACCAGCCATTCAGTCCATTCTTAAAGAACTGAGGGTCCTGGGAATTTAACTATGTCAGTAGTCTTTTTTACTTTAACTGAAGAAAAATAGTGACATTTACAGATTTTGTATTAAGATTGGGAGACAAAAAAGAGTTGGAGGAGCCAAATCAGGACTGTAAGATGGGCACATAATGATTTTCCATCGAAACTCTTGCAAAAATACCCTTGTTAGATGAGAGGCATAAGCAGGAGCTTGTCGTGGTGGAAAATGCCTCACTGATGAAGATTTCCCAGACATTTTTTTCTGCCAAATCTTTGGATACATTTCTCAAAACAGTCATAATAAGCAGATGTTGTTCTTTGGCCCTCCAGAAGGTCAACAAACAAAATGCCTTGAGCATCCCAAAAAGCTATTGTCATGACCTTTGCTCTTGACTTGACCCCTTATGCTTTCACTTCATCACTTCGACTTGCTAGCCATTGCTTTGATTGTGCTTTTTCTTCCGGATCATACTGGTAAAACCGTGTTTCATTGCCTGTCATAATTTGTTGAAGAAATCCTTCAGGATTATGATCGCACTTGTTTAAAATTTCCATTGAAAGCTCTGCTCTTTGCAACTGATTTTGGCATAGCAGTTTTGGAACCCATAGAGTGGAAAGTTTGCTCAACTTTAATTTTTTAGTCAGAACTGTGTCAGCTGAACCAATTGAAATGTCTGTGGTATTGGCTATTGTTGTGCTGTTAATCGTTAGTCCTCTTTAATTAGGGCATGAACAAGATGAGGTTTTTTCCCTGCAAATCGATGCGGATGGTCTGCAGCTGCAGCCTTCATCGTCAACATCATCTCGTCCTTCCTTGAAATTAGTTATCCATTTGTAAAGTGCTGATTTCTTTGGGACATTGTCCCCATAAACTAGTCTCAAAGCATCAATGATTTTATCATTCTTCAACCCAAGCTTTACCATAAATTTGATGGTTTTTCTTACTTCAATTTTAGCAGAATTCACCTTCTCTAATGGGGCTCTTTCTAAACAGCTAACTGTGCTTCTTAGTGCCTCAAACTAGATCTTGTTAAGACAAATTAGTATAAGTTTATTTTGGTGCAGAAAAGTTTTGGAAGTTATGCATGGTTTTTTTCACAATACACTTTTACCGTGAACTTTTTAAAGACTCCTTGTACCTCTGTAAAATATTACCAAATTACATGCATTAAGTATGGGCAGTTTGTTATGTGTCTGTTATACCTGAATAAAGCTATTTCTAAGAAAAATGGAATTTCAGTTAGTAAATTCATGTTCAAGTACAATTCTGCTGTTTTTTAAATAATTTCAGCAACTTGTTTGTACATTACCTCCTCTTTTATGAAATAACGGTGACACTTGACCTTGTGAAAGTCTTTTCAAAACATATCATGACCCTAATTTTATAAGTAAGAGATAGGAGACTAGGTTGACACACAGATTTCTAACCTAGTAACAAAAATAATAATAATCAAACTTCCTTCCTTTTACTTTGGTTTCCCTAGCAATTCTGATGTAATAAAATTTGAGATATTTTATCTAGAAGACTGTATGTTACTGTGGTCATCTCTCAGGCCTCATCTGACTTGCCTCATCAATAGCACTTGATATCATTGATCATTCCTTCTTCCCCGATATACTTTCTTCCCTTGGTTTCCAGGATACTACCTTCTTGGTGTTCTCCTAACTAGCCACTTTATCTTATTCTTCTTTGCTAGTTCTTACTTATTTACTCAAACTTTTAATAGACGTGTCTTTGGACTCAGACTTTATAACTCCTCTGTTCCTGTTCTCTCGCTGATCACGTCTGCCCCAAGGATGTCAGTAGTATGTATATGCTGATGACTTTCAAATTTATAATCTACTTGGACCTATCCAGAGCTGCTATTGCCTTCTGTACATCTAACTCCTGCAATTGTATATCCAGCTCCCTACAGTACATATTACTTTAGTCTATTGGAGATCTCAAACATCACATGTTCAAAACCAAACTCCTGAACTGCTCTCCCCAAGCCTGTTCCTTTTTCAGCCTTTCCCATCTCAGTTAATATCAACTCACATCTTCTGTTTGCTCAAGCCTAAACCAAGGATTCATCCTTAACCCTTTATCTCCTATACTCTCCTTCAATATCTCAGGAAATACAAATATACTACTTTGAACATAAATTGTTTATTGCTTGGCCTCCCTGTTTCTACCTTTGCTTCTCTTCAGTCTGATCTCACCAAAATATTCAGTGAGCCTCTTCAAATGTAAGTCAGATCATGTCACTCATCTAAACTCAAAACTCTCCAGAAGACAAAGGCCACAGTCCTTATAAGGACTTTAAAGGCCCTAGCTAATATTCTGTTACCTCCCCTTTACCTGTCTGACCTCATTACTTAATATCTCCCCCTGACTTTATTCTGTTTATATGAACTGCCTTGCTTGCTAGGCATGCTCCAAAATTAGGGCCATTGGATTTGCTGTTGCCTTGGCTAAGAACTTTTTTGCTTCTCTCAGACTTTGCTCAAATGTTGCCATCTCAGCAGGGCCTAATCTAACTACCCTAATAAATGTTACAACGTCCTACTCCCACTCCCCAGGCCTCATAATCCTGTTAGCTGCCTTATTTTTCTCCATAACCTTACTGTCACCTGATATGCTTTATAATTTACTTCTGTATTAGTTCATTGTGTTTCTTCCGTACAAGTCTTTTCTGTTTTATTCATTGCTATATTTCTATTGCTTATTACAGTGGATGACAAATGAATCCTTACTATATATGAAAAGTCTGAGGAAACATGATACCCAAATATTTGGTCAAATATTATTCTAGGTGTTCCTGTGAGAGTGTTTTGAAAGGAATTAACATTTAATTTGGTAGACTGAGTAAAGTAGATTGCCCTCCCTAATTTGGGTGGGCCTCAGCCAGTCAGCAGAAGACCTCAATAAAACAAAAACGCTGACCATCCCGAGTCAGAGAAATTTTCCTGCCTGTTTTTGAACTTGGTAATTGGCTTTTTCCTGCCATATGACTCCTACTGAAACATCAGCTCTTCCTGGGTCTTGAGCCTGCCAGCCTGCAAATTGGAATTACACCTAGGTTCTCCTGGTTCTCAGACCAATGGACCTTGACTAGAACTACACTATTAACTGTCCGAGGTCTCCAGCCTGCCAACTTATCCTGCAGGTCTTTGGATTTGCCCACATCTATAATTATATGAGACAGTTTCTTACAATAAATCTCTTTGCACACACAAACACACACACACACACACACACACACACACACACACACACCCTATTGGTTCAGTTTCTCTAGAGAGCCTTAAATAATACAGTTTTTAATGTTTTAAAGCAGGGGCCCCCAACCCCCAGCCATGGATCAGTACTGGAACAGGGCCTCACAGCAGGAGGTGAGCAGCAGGCAACTAAACAAAGCTTCATCTGTATTTACAGCTGCTCCCCATTGCTTGTATTACTGCCTGAGCTCTACCTCCTGTCAAATCAGTGGTGGCATCAGATTCTCATAGGAGCATGAACCCTATTGTGAACTGCCTATGCAGAGGATCTAGGTTACGCACTCCGAATGAGAATCTAATGCCTGAAGATCTGCCACTGTCTCCCATCACCCCTGTCTAGCTGCAGGAAAACAAGCTCAGGGCTCCCAGTAATTCTATATTATGGTCAGTTATATAATTATTTCATTGTATATCAGTGTAATAATGATAGAAATAAAATGCACAATAAATGTAATGCTCTTGAATCATCCAGAAACCATCCGAGTCTGTGGAAAAACTGTCTTCCATAAACCAGACCCTGGTGCCAAAAAGGTTGGGGACTGCTGCGTTAAAGGATTCTCTTGCTCTAGAATAGCATAGGTTTGGTTTTGTTTTAAAGTTGTTATTTTTCTCTGGCTTTCTTCCATCCTCTTCCCCAGCTTTATTGAGATGTAATTGATGAATAGAAATTTATATATTTTATATATATGAATTATTTTATATGTATATAAAAAGTATATAACATGATTTGGTATATGTATACATTGTGAAACAATTACCACAATCAAATTAATTAACACATCTATCACCATACATAGTTACCATTTTTGGTGTGGAAGGAACACTTTAGATGTACTGTTTTAGCAAATTTTAAATATACAATGCAATATTATTAACTATAGTCACTATACTGTACATTAGATCCTCAGAACTTACTCATCTGATAACTGAAGTTTTATAGCCTTTGACAAACATCTCTTCATTTCTTCCACCCTCCAGCCCATCACAACTACCCACTCTGCTGTCTCTAGTTTTGAACTAAGGAATGTGTTCTAGTGTCATCATATCCATTATGCTTTATCTTGTGCATTTAGAATGTATTATCAAAGATATTATTGCTGAGACAAAAACCAAATTGTCTTAAGCATTAGATTTGTTTTTATGTAGCATTTCAGATTTTATATTCAATATGTTAACCGTAAAGTTGAATGTGTGATCTTTAGGAAAAATTAACTTGTTTGCTTTCAATGTCATTATTTGCTTTTAAATAAAGCCACTTACACAGATGAGTACCGAAAGTAGTCAAAGCGCCTGTATGCTAAATAATCTACAAAGTTAACATTTCCCTAAATTAATAAAATTTATCTGAGGGGGATATCCGTGGGGACGAGAAATGATTTGACTATAATGTGCTATGTACGATGAATGACTATATGTGCTATGTACTATCAAGGATTTGTAGGGTCGGTTGATATGCAAGGGGTATAGGATTGTCTTTGAAGGGTTCAATGTAATGTGTGACAGTTCGTTAAGTTATTCTAGTTCTTGCTTGTGAGCATTTTTAAACTATTTGAATTTTGATTATGTTTTCATATTTCACACTGCTCTAATCTGAAAATATATCTGGTTTTGGACTTAATACAGTCATTTCACCTGTTAGTAATATTTCTTAAATTCCTAATATTGTCATTTTATATTTCTTACATATTTGTTATGGAATAATAAAACTATTTGATTTTTTGGTACACTTACAGTGTTGTACAAACACTGTGATTAGAAGAATAATATGCCATTCTCATTTTACTATGAAAAAGTACAAAAGTATTGTTTTTAACATAATATATATATTAATGTGGTCCAGTTTTTGTGTAAGTTTAGAATATACTATATTTAAAAAGTAAGACTTATGAAAATTTAATTATATTCTTCATAACACCAGTGCAAAGAGATTTCTAACATCTCTCTGAGAAGAATAAACAAAATATTTTTGTAATGTAAAAAATGATATTGAATACCAATACAGATAAGTAGGGTTTTCTACATAATATTCACATAGGATTTCAGTATGCAGACCTCAATTACAGTTATACTTAGAACTTTATTTTCATCAAATAGTCCAACAATGAATGACCAAAACCAAGGAGTTAACAGTGTTTAAGAGATACAGTGTAGGGGGAAAATGCTGTAATTGTTTGGTTTTAATTTTATGATATATGATTGGGAATTTCTAGAACCTATAACCAACGCAAATATTTCTGTACAAGAATAGGGAAAAGACAGTCTTATAGACCATAATTATCTTAAAGCTGTGTATAACTAGAAGACAAGTAAAAGATAAAAAGCCCATCAGCTGCCTAAGATATATAACCACCCAGCAATTTATCCATCATCCTTTGAAAACATATTCATGCCTATTGTAGTCAAAGCTCCTTTAGGAAGTCAGCATTAAGATGTAATGGTGAAAAATTACACCCCTTAGAAAATCATATAGAACAATATACATGATGTTATTAAAGCTTTTAAAAACACATATAAGTATTTTTCAGTTAGCTTTCTTGTCTAAAGAAATTTTCTTCATCATCTCCAATGTAATGATGAGTATTTTCCATGAAAACTTTCTATGGAATGTTTTATAAAATAGTAAAAATTACATTTTTCTGTTAAAAGATTTAAACATTTATTAGTAGACTGATTTTTTATGAAATAAATTATATACACGTGCACACACAATTTTTATAGAGCTTGAAGACATTAAGATTTTTATATCCTTTTCATAATTTTTAATAAGTTATGTGTTAGTATTTTTAGAACTGAAGAAAATAAAAGGATTTTCAGAAGTAAATTTAAATGCTGTTTCATAATATGCCAAAGTCAGTTTTAAAACTTAATTTGAATATTAGCTAGTGATGACATTTCAGATAGGTAGTATTCCTGCAGGAAGAAGTATCTAAGATCGAGAGCAAAACATAAATTGTTGCATTAACTTTCGAATTATCTGTTATTGAGTATGCACTGTCCAGCATCAGCTACAATAAAAAGAAAGTAGGAGGCTAGGGTGCTTTAAACATGCTGAAAAGTTGTGTTTTTAAAATTTTACTCAGGATAGGTACATGATTATCAGCATATTAGAACTACCTTGATGTTTACTAAAAGCTTATAGTATATAATATTTTAACATCAAATATAACAGCAAATGAATAATTCAAATTTAATCAATTAAGCTGAAACTTCCCACAATTAATATCTAGAAAATCTTTCATAATTGAAAATGAATACTCACTTTGAAATAAACCAGAAGTCTGAGAATAAAGAGTTCATTAAAAGTAAACCATATCATATTTTATGAATTGATGCAGCAACAGAACATTTAGTAATAAAGCAATACATATAACATGTTAAAATTTAGACTAACATCTTTTAAATTTTTTTTATGGACTTTAAGGTCCATAAGTGAAAGTTAAAATAATATCTTAATAATTCGAAGGGTTTATATTATACCACAAAATACCAGACTTACCCAAATATTGAACTCATTTGTTAGGATCTGATTCATTGTACCTTATATATTTTGCTTTATTTGATTCTTTAGTTTTAACCAGTATCAAAGATATTAGTTGATGTAGAATTAGCTAAAGCAATATTATTTGCTAAATGATGTAAAGTTTGAATTATTATTATAAAGTTTTCTTTTCCTTCTGTCATTTTGGTATCAAGATATAAATGTTTGTTTTTGGCACCTATCTGTTATTCACTGAACAGAGAACAAAAATTAGAAGTCTGAACACAGTGAGTAGTCAGTTGTTTGCTTTTACTGCATTGTAGTATAGTTTGGTCTTTCTGAGTGAGTAGAATCCAGAAATACCTCAGGTGCAACTATTGTTTTCCTAGTTCTGCCAAAAAATGGGACAGTTATAAGAATGAAGTTAAAGTAATAACCCTTAATTGACCAAATATACCATTGAACATTTTTACTTTATTAAACTCCAAAGTTGTAATCATATACAGATTCAGAACAAAAGCCATACAGTGTATCATGTTATAAACAATTAAAAATTACTTTCTGACCGTTGGTATCAGTCTTCTTTGCAAGATTTAGTATACTTAATACCTTATAAATAATTTTTTTCCACACATTTTTACTTTTCCTAGACTATATAATGGTATTTATTATATTTCCTTAAAACTATTTTAGCACTATATATCTTTTGTTCATCATATAAATACAACTATTAGGAGAGTCCTTTGAAGGCAGAGCTATAATCAGAATATTTTCCCTTTTTTGTCAATATTTTATTTGTTCAGAAAGTTATCAGGCTATCTATACACTTTTCAGTGCTTACTACTCTGAAGTGTTAGTTGAGCCGGAAATTTGCTGTTTGACCCCAGGGTTTCACTCTTTTTTTTTTTCTTCCTGGCTACTGTGAGAGCTTATTTAAAATTCTAAGTTCTCCCTTGGCAGTCACAGTTAGAGCTTCTTTGGCAAAGTAAAAAGACTAAAAAAAAACATGCAAAGGCTCAGTACTGCTTCCAGTGACCTACATTTCTAGCCAGCTTTTAAAGATGGCATGTGCCTGATTTTCTAGTAAGGAAATGAAGGATAAGATAAAAATTAAAATGTACAGGAGAATAAACCGACTCTCCAACTCTCTATCACTAGCTAGTGAGAACCATTGCTGCTATATTAATATAAACACATTTAGCATTGATGTTTATTCATCAATCAACAAAAGGAATTTTGCATGCAGAAAAGTTGTCTAAGTCATACAGCAAAAATGCTATGCCCTGTGATAGGACGTTTATTCTCAAGAAAGTAAAACTTATTTGGAATCCAAGCTTAGATTTTAATTTCTATGTTACCACTTAACTAGCTGCAAGACCCTGCCTAAGTCACTTAGCCTTTTATATTAAGAGAGGAGTGATACTTACCCTGCCTACCTTATTCCGGAGTTCCAAATTAAAAATGAAATATCAGGTTTTCCATTCTAAATCTTAAAGCATTTATTTTAGTCCTCCAATTTAATTTAAGAAATTTTGTTTTGAACCCATAAAAATGAATAACCCATTCTTAGATGATTATTGTTATGTTCAAAAGAAATAATAAAATATAGCACTTTGTCATCATTGAAAAGAAGCCACCAAAGTCAGAATTGGGAATATTAAAAACAAAGTTCATTTTTCTTCTGAATACTTATTTTTTCAGAAGAAAAGATATTCAATCCTTTTGAGAGGGATAAATGACCTCAAATTCTGAAAACCAGAGGCATTAAAACTAAAAGAAAATACATTTTGTCAGCTCCCCAAATTAACATATTATCCCACTAAATGCAACATTAAAGGATGCCACGAAAGGAAAAAGGCAGCACACTGTCAAGGGTCAAATTAAATAGATGAGCTGTGAAGATTTATTTTGTACAAAAGGATAACTTTACTGTGGAAACCCCAAAGAAGATAGAGCTCTCTCTCCAGCTAGTGTTGGGGTGATTCCTTCAGTGGCTAGTGTTTCTTTCCTAAAATTTTAAGTTTTGCTAATCAGAAACTGACACCTGCAGCAAGTGGCCTTAGTTCACCACGTCTGTCTTTTCAAATTATGATTTGTTAATGAAATCAGAGGCCTTTGAAATGTGTTTGTTGTTTATATAATATTCATCTTACAGTTTGGCTACATGTCTGAAAGTCTATTAGATTTCAAAAACAGGGTAGATGATATTAAACTAAGAATAGATTTGAGACCATGAGGTGAAGCTTCTTACCTTTATTCTTTTTAAAACAAAGTATAACATATAGGCTGCTGTAGAATTAAAGACACACTGTTTTATGTCTTCACTAGTTACCTCGACTTCTCAGTAATCAAAGAGTATAAAGAAAATCAGTTTTGGGCCGGGAGCGGCGGCTCACCCCTGTAATCCTAGCACTTTGGGAGGCTGAGGCGGGCAGATCACCTGAGGTCAGGAGTTCGAGACCAGCCTGACCAACATGGAGAAACCTCATCTCTACTAAACATATAAAATTAGCCAGGCATGGTGGCACATCCCTGTAATCCCAGCTACTCGGGTGGCTGAGACAAGAGAGTTGCTTGAATCCAGGAGGCAGAGGTTGCGGCGAGCTGAGATTGCGCCATTGCACTCCAGCAGCCTGGGCAACAAGAGCAAAACTCCGTCTAAAAAAAAAAAAAAAAGGCAAATCAGTTTTGTTGTTTTGTTCTATAATTCTAGATGTACCACAGTAAATAATTTTCAAATTAAAAAAAAATAAAATGATATCCAATCTTATTAGTGCCCCACAATACCCTAAGCATTTTTGCTTGTGTCCTTTTTCATAAGCTGGGTTTATTCTGGAAATATAAAAGAAAATGACTTCAAACAAATGAAATTGTTCAAATGTTGTGTGTTCCTGTGCTAGGAATTTAACTGATCTGGACCCCTTAAATGAAGATAATATCTCACCTCATTCCTAATTTAGGTGTTGACAGTAGATATTTTTGAAGCTTTAGACTACTTCTTTTCCAAAAACTTAAAAATTCTATGATCTCTGTTTAAGAAATAATAATGATAGTAAAGATCTTTGTTACTATCTTAATTTCTTAAAAGATAATGTACTTATATTTAGTAACATTTCAGTTATATCAGGTTTTTAGAAATTATTTTAGTTCATATTCAATAGGGACACTTTTAATACTTAAAAGAATTTTGCAGACATAGAATCTTTCTATAACTCAATATTGTATAACTTGCTTGCCTAATATGAATTATCATCTTTCACATTTTCTTAAACACAGGTTAATATATACCCCTATACAGTAAACATTTACTAAAGGGCATTACTACACATGGTCTCACTAACTAAACCTGCAAATACCAGTGATTAAGTGGAAAAGTCTATCCACTTTTTAAAATATTTTATAAAATATATTTTAATTATTTTCTATTATAAAGACCACATTGTTTTATATATATATAAAACAACGTTGTTTTATATATATATAAAACAACATTGTTTTGTATATATATACGTACAGTCATGTACCACATAATGTTTCAGTCAACAAGGAACCACATACACAACAGTGGTCCTATAAGGTTCTAATACTGTATTTTTATGGTACCTTTGCTATATTTAGATACCCAAATATTCCCCATGTGTTATATTTGCCCACAATCTTCTACATTAATAGGCTGTACAGGTTGGTAGCCTAGCAGCAGTAAGCTATACCATATAGCCTAGGTATGTAGTAGGCTCTACCATCTACCACCTACATTTTTCTAAGTACACTCTGTGATGTTTGCACAGTGACAGAATCTCATTTCTCCTTAAACAATGCATGACTTTCTATCACCCACACATACTCATGCATGTGTATACATGTATACATAATACACACACACTGAAGTTTACATGCTTTTATCAGTGGTAGTTACCTAATTAGTAGCTCTTAACTATAGAATTATTTGCAGGTTATTATCTTATATTAACCCTCTATAGTTGTACTGAGTATACAATATACCCAGAGCCAGATTAAACATTGACAGCATTTAATATATGAACATTACATCATAAAAGAACCTGCCAAAGGAACACTCAAATTTTTATGGATAGAAATATTAATAGATGCCAAAGTTCATTCTTGTCTCTCTTTGAGCATGGAATTTCTCATTTTAAGCTTTCTTCATAATAAATTTGTTTGAAGAGCACATTATTTTTTATTTTTTATTTTTTGAGATGGAGTATCGCTCTGTTGCCCAGGCTGAAGTGCAGTGGTGCAATCGCAGCTCACTGTACCCTCCACCTACCGGGTTCAAGCGATTCTCCTGCCTCAGCCTCCTCCAAGTAGCTGGGATTACAGGCTCCCGCCGCCACACCTGACTAATTTTTATATTTTTAATAGAGACGGAGTTTCACCATGTTGGCCTGGCTGGTTTTGAACTCCTGACCTCAAGTGATCCTCCCACCTCAACCTCCCAAATTGCAAGGATTGCTGGTGTGAGCCACCATGCCTGGCCTGAAGAGCACATTTTAAAATAAGATATAATACAGTCTTTACATTATTATGTATAAACTTAATAAAATCTGTATCTTAGTTCAATATATGTAAGAAAATTGATAAAATTAATACATACTACATGCAGGGTTGTTGCTAACAGTTTGATGGCTTTAATTTTTGATATGGGTGAGAAAATAATTATGGAATCTATTATCAGAATGCCTTGAAAGTCAGCACATTTCCCTTTAAACTCCTTTTAAGTCAGTGCCATCCATAGGCAGTGTTGAAAGCATGTGGCTGCCTTGGTCAAGACTTGGAAGTGCTATTTATGTTATGAGTAGACATATTGCTGGGACCTCGATAAGAAATTTAAATCTGCCTGTACCTTATTTTCCCAACCTCACTACCAGATTGGGATAGAACCCAGGGATTAATTACATACGGAAATTGTTTTGAGATCTTTTGTGATTGGTACTTTTCAAAATGTGATAGTTTCTAATACAATATTTTTAAATAATTAGGTTATGATTTGTGTTTAAATGAAGATGGTATCCTATTTTTATTTCTTAGTGTAATCCTTTCATTTTGAATACATAATACAGATTTCCATTTCCTCTTTTTTCATGTTATCCTCCTCATTTGCTCTATCTTAATCAAGAAAAATGAAAGAAATATTATCTAGTCTTCTCAATACATTCCTGGTTTACATGTTAAAGAGAAATGTGATAGGGATCCATGGAAAAGGATTGAGAACACTGTCCTTATCCCACTGGTTTCCTTTCTATTTTCAGATTCATGTAATTGATGTGATTGCCAAATAACAAGCATCATTATTGTCAATACCTTAACTTATAAATGTATTAAAACAATATTTGTATACCAATGTGAAAGTGTTTTTCACCCTTTCTTTTTGTAATAGCAGTGATATTGCCACTTTTATATTCAAGAAAAATATCTTAAATTTCACTAAGATATTATCTGATCTGTATGGAATTTAGTTGAAGTATGCGTGGAAATAAGTTAATTCACTAATACTGGTTTTAAAATCTGAGTTTTAAAAACTTTTTATGCAATATCATCTATACCCCTTAACCTGACTTTATGCCATTCTATGACATTTTTTAAATGCTTCAAACAGCCAAAGTCACCCCTCCCCCATATTTCTAAATATTTTCAATGAAGATAATACAGGGAATATACTATTAATACATGGATACTCAGGTTAGATATTTGTAGTACTTTTGTATTAAAATTATGGCAATGAATCAGTAATATCTTTGATTTTTTTCTGTTTTCCAACTTTCAGAAAATAAAAGTTGCCAAAATAAACACAAAAATTCAACAAAGTAACATACTTACTGATACATGGATAATGCTTAAGTAGTATTAATTATACAGTTACCAAAACCTGGAAGGATCAAAAGATTTTATTTTTAAGAAGGATTTCTCATGCTGCATGGATTATGTTGGTACATAATAGCTCAGTAGTACTTCTGCTGAATTGTAAAATAGCTTAGAGAGGAGTATGATGCCCATAGTTGGTGTAATGCATTGGTGATTAAGAGGGTGTGAGGTTAAGCTTCATTAACTGCTGAGGGATTGTATCTTGGGTTTTATTATGCCCTAGAGAACATAAAAAGTGAGAAGGGTCAAACTGTTAGAATCAGATTTTGCTTGTGCATCTGCCAAAACAAAGACCACAAAATAATATAGCAGTAAGAACAGAAAGAGCTTGGAATGAAACGGGCCGAAATATATTTACAGCATCTTATGGATAAGGTAAATGTTTCTAGTGAGGAAATAAATATACATAAATACTGGAATAATATTTTTATATGGGAATTTTATAATTTTATTTCAGATAGGATCTTTAAAGGAGAAAAACTGTTGTTTTGTTGAAAGGTAGTCCTATTTTCTTTATTCATATTAATTTTCTAATCTGTTTCATTTGGCTAAAAGAGAAATTTCATCCTTCCCATCCTGTCATCTGTATAGAACTTATGGAGTCTGCTTTTTGTTTTTATTTATTCATGACCCTTGATACCATATACTTGAGAACCATAAGCACCAAATTGCAGAAAGAACCAAAACTCTGATAATCCCTCTGTTAGGAAAGAAAGATATAACAACAATACAGTATGTTCTGTTTGTGCTCTGGGTTAGAAATCAAAGGCTGGGGATTTTTGAAAGTGTAAGGGAGGATGTTATCTGTGATTGACAGCTGTAATAGTTCAATATTAAAGAGTTTTATGCCTAGCATTTTCTTGAAATAGAGCTTTTATCAAAACACTAATTAAATTTTTTGTTTGATTAGAAACAGTCATTGTAACAAATGGTATAGATTATAGTAGTGATCACCTCTGGAGGGTCAATGACTCCCAGTAAGTAACATAGTTAATGTTGGCATACTTAAAAATTTTAGTACTTCCAAATATAATAATGTATTGAATACAAACTTACATTATAAATTTCTGGGTATTAGATAACAAAAGTATCAGAATGTTCCTTCTTTGTTCCCCAACATATCATTTTCATTAAGTCATTTTTACTTGAATTATGAATAGTAATACTGTAACCACTGAAACAGAATTTTTATAGAGTAGATTTTTTTTCCAGAGATATAGGATGACACTGTTGCTTTAAGATTCATTTTCTTTTTTTTTTTTTAATTATACTTTAAGTTCTAGGGTACATGCACACAACGTGCAGGTTTGTTACATACATATACATGTGCCATGTTGGTGTGTTGCACCCATTAACTCATCATTTACATTAGGTATATCTCCTAATGCTATCCCTTCCCCTCCTGCTACCCCAGGACAAGCCCCGGTGTGTGATGTTCCCCTTCCTGGGTCCAAGTGTTCTCATTGTTCAATTCCTACCTATGAGTGAGAAAATGCGGTGTTTGGCTTTTTGTCCCTACGATAGTTTGCTGAGAATGATGGTTTCCAGCTTCGTCTATGTCCCTGCAAAGGACATGAACTCATCCTTTTTTATGGCTGCATAGTATTCCTTGTTGTATATGTACCACATTTTCTTAATCCAGTCTATCATTGGTGGACATTTGGGTTGGTTCCAAGTCTTTGCTATTGTGAATAGTGCCACAATAAACATGTGTGCCTGTGTCTTTATAGCAGCATGATTTATAATCCTTTGGGTATATACCCAGTAATGGGATGGCTGGGTCAAATGGTATTTCTAGTTCTAGATCCCTGAGGAATCGCCACACTGTCTTCCACAATGGTTGAACTAGTTTACAGTCCCACCAACAGTATAAAAGTGTTCCTATGTCTCCACATCCTCTCCAGCACCTGTTATTTCCTGACTTTTTAATGATCACCATTCTAACTGGTGTGAGATGGTATCTCATTGTGGTTTTGATTTGCATTTCTCTGATGGCCAGTGATGGTGAGCATTTTTTCATGTGTCTGTTGGTTGCATAAATGTCTTCTTTTGAGAAGTGTCTGTTCATATCCTTTGCCCACTTTTTCATGGGGTTGTTTTTTTCTTGTAAATTTGTTTGAGTTCTTTGTAGATGCTAGATATTAGCCCTTTGTCAGATGAGTAGATTGCAAAAATTTTCTCCCATTCTGTAGGTGGCCTGTTCACTCTGATGGCAGTTTCTTTTGCTGTGCAGAAGCTCTTTAGTTTAATTAGATCCCATTTGTCAATTTTGGCTTTTGTTGCCATTGCTTTTGGTGTTTTAGACATGAAGTCCTTGCCCATGCCTATGTCCTGAATGGTATTGCCTACGTTTTCTTCTAGGGTTTTTATGGTTTTCGGTCTAACATTTAAGTCTTTAATCCATCTTGAATTAATTTTTGTATAAGGTGTAAGGAAGGGATCCAGTTTCAGCTTTCTACATATGGCTAGCCAGTTTTCCCAGCACCATTTATTAAACAGAGAATCCTTTCCCCATCTCTTGTTTTTGTCAGGTTTGTGAAAGATCAGATGGTTGTAGATGTGTGGTATTATTTCTGAGGGCTCTGTTCTGTTCCATTGGTCTATATCTCTGTTTTGGTACCAGTACCATGCTGTTTTGGTTACTGTAGCCTTGTAGTATAGTTTGAAGTCAGGTAGCATGATGCCTGCAGCTTTGTTCTTTGGCTTAGGATTGTCTTGGCAAAGTAGGCTCTTTTTTGGTTCCATATGAACTGTAAAGTAGTTTTTTCCAATTCTGTGAAGAAAGTCACTGGTAGCTTGATGGGGATGGCATTGGATCTATAAATTACCTTGAGCATTATGGCCATTTTCACGATATTGATTCTTCCTAACCATGAGCATGGAATGTTCTTACATTTGTTTGTGTTAAGATTCATTTTCTAGGCCAGGCACGGTGGCTCATGCTTACAACTTGCTTAAGGCTCATATAAGTGTAATCCTAGCACTTTGGATGATCAAGGCGGTTAGATTGCCTGAGCTCAGGAGTTCGAGACCAGCCTGGGCAACATGGTGAAACCTCGACTCTACTAAAATACAAAAAAATAGCTGAGTGTGGCAGTATGCACCTGTAGTCCCAGCTAGTTGGGATGCTGGGGCAGGATAATTGCTTGAACCCGGGAGGCAGAGGTTGCAGTGAGCCGAGATTGCGCCACTGCACTCTATCCTGGGCGTCAGAGCGAGACTGCATCTCCAAAAAAAAAAAAGATTCATTCTCTAGCATAGGTTAATTCTGTATTTCACAAGACTTAAAAATCACACTACTGATTATTCTTAATTTGTATGGACCACATTTTTATTTTCTGTTATTTTTGTTCAAATTTTTGGCTAAAAGAATGGTTAAAAAAATATTGAAGAGTTACCAGGTAGTCACATAGGTCTTCGCTGGTTAACTTACTAGCATGATAACATTTATCCACACCATAATCGGGTAAAATACTTCTTTATATTGATGCAACACTTAGAAACAAAGATGCTAAGGGCATTTGCATCTGCTTACAAAAGGCATTCCATTTTTATCAGAATCTGAGAGGCCATTGATTGTAAGATGCATCATTATTAAATATACTAAGAGAAAAAAAGTATTCCCACCTGAACTAAGAACGTTTCTATTCACTTAAATTTTTTATTTAATTCTTATTGGAAGAGGTTTCTTAGACTTACTTATTTTTTAAGTCATATCACACCTGTCTATAAAAAAAGAAGCACAACATGTAAGGTACTTATAAAACTTCACATTCAGATTACTACTGTTCTAAATCACTTTCTGGCTCATAGTCATTGATATCCATGTGTTTCACAATTTACATTTTTCACAAGATACTGTTCTCTCTGTCATTAATAGCACTGGCAATGTAGTACTTCTTTATTTATTTTTTTTTTCAGCCTCCCGAGTAACTGGGATTACAGGCATGCGCCACCACCGCACCTGGCTAACTTTGTATTTTTAGTAGAGATGGGGTTTCTCCATGTTGGTCAGGCTGGTCTCGAACTCCTAACCTCAGGTGATCCACCTGTCTCAGCCTCCCAAAGTGCTGGGATTACAGGCGTGAGCCACCGCACCCGGCCTGTAGTACTTCTTAAAGGTGATGCAATATTGTACCCAGATTTTATTCTAAAACATTGACATCCATCCTGCAATTATTCGTGCAAGCACTGTCCTGATTTTCTCAGATAGGATCAATAGTAGTATCCTAAAAAGCCAGGATTTTTATTATTCTTTACTTGATCCATATATGGATTTTTGGCTGAAACATTGAAGAATTACATTTGTCCATTTGAACACCAAGAAAAACAAGCAAGTTTTTGCATATGCAGACCATAATAACTTTGTATCTGCTTCCAGGCTGACAGTTATGATATTCTCCCAGTTGTAAAATGCATCCTGATTTTAGAGATGGTAATGTGAAGAAAAACATGAGTCTTAGAATCAGTGAAATAAAGTAAATATATGCCTCATTTTTCAACCTTGGTTTTGATATAAAGGCATACCTTGGAGATAATGCAGGTTTGATTCCACACCACCACAATAAAGTGAGTCACTTTTTTTATTTCCCAGTGCATATAAAGTTATGTTGATACTATACCATAGTCTACTAAGTGTGCAATAGCATTATGACTAAAAAATAAATAATTTAAAAAGACCTTATTGCTAAAAAATGGTAACAGTTATATGAGCCTTAAGCAAGTTGTAATCTTGTTGCTGGTATAGAGTCTTGCCTTGATGTTGATGGCTGCTGACTTACAGGTTGGGGTGACTGTGGTAATTTCTGAGAAGAAGGCAACAATGAAGATTGCCACATCAATTGACTCTTCTTCTTATTAAAGATTTGGGTCTGTACAAGTGATGCTGTTTGGCAGCATTTTACCCACAGTAGAGCTTTTTTCAAAATGGGAGTCAACTGCCGAAAAGCTCCTTAAACTGATAAATGACTTCAGTAAAGTTTCAAGATACAAAATCAATGTATAAAAATCAGTAGCATTTCTATACACCAATAATCAAGCTGAGAGCCAAATCAAGAATGCAGTGTCATTCACAATAGCCACAAAAAGAATAAAATACTTAGGAATACGGCTAACCAAGGAGGTGAAAGTGAACTACAAAACACTGCTGAAAGAAATCAGAGATGACACAAATGAAAAAGTCTTCCTTGCTCATGAATTGGAAGAATCAATATCATTAAAATGGCCATACTGCTCATAGCAATTTAAGGATTCAACACTACTTCCATCAAACTACCAATGTCATTTTTCACAGAATTAGAAAACGTTATTCTGAAATGTATATGGAACTACAAAGAGCCCAAAGCAATCCTAAGCAAAAAGAACAAAACAAGAGGCATCACATTACCCGACCTCAAACTATACTACAAGGCTACAGTAACCCAAACAGCATGGTACTGGTATAAAGACAGATATAAAGACCAATGGAACAGAAAAGAGAACCCAGAAATAAAGCCATACACTGACAATCATCTGATCTTTGACAAAGTAGACAAAAGTAAGCAATGAGGAAAGGACTCCCATTCAATAAATAGTGCTGGGAAAACTGGCTATCCACGTGAAGAGGAATGAAACTAGACACCTGCCTATCGCCATATACAAAATTAACTCAAGATGGATTAAAAACCTAAATCTAGGCTGGGTTCAGTGGATCACACCTGTAATCCCAACACTTTGGGAGGCTGAGGCAGGCAGATCACCTGAAGTCAGGAGTTCAAGACCAGCCTGGCCAACATGGTGAAACCCCGTCTCTACTGAAAATACAAGAATTAGCCAGGTGTGGTGGCACATGTTTGTAATTCCAGCTACCCTGGAAGCTGAGGTGGGAGAATCACTTGAACCCAGGAGGCGGAGGTTGCAGTGAGCCGAGATCGTGCCACTGCACTCCAGCCTGGGCGACAGAGTGAGACCCCATCTCAAAAAAAAAAATAAAAAAAAGGAAAGAAAAAAAACCTAAATCTAAAACCTCAGATTGTAACAATCCCAGAAGAAATCCTAGGCGATACCCTTCTGGACATCAGCCTTGGCAAAGAATTCATGACTAAGTACTCAAAAGCATTTGCAACAAAAAGAAAAATTGACAAGTGGGACCTAATTAAAGAGCTTCTGTACCACAAGAGAAAGTGTCAATGGGATAAACTAACAATCTACAAAATGGGAGAAAATATTCACAAACTGTGCATCTGACACAGGCCTAATACCCAGATCCTATAAGAAACTTAAATCAACAAGTAGAAAACAACCCCACTGAAAAGAGAGCAAAGGACATGAACAGACACTTCTCAAAAGAACACATACAAGTAGAACACCACGGTGTCTGACACCTGTAAACCCAGCACTTTGGGAGGCCGAGGTGAGTGGATTACCTGAGGTCAGGAGTTCCAGACCAGCCTGGCCAAAATGGCAGTAAATCAGCTGGGCATGTTGGTGCATCCTGTAATCACAGCTATTCAGGAGGCTGAGGCAGGAGAATCACTTGAACCTGGGAGGCGGAGGTTGCAATGAGCTAAGATCACACCACTGTACTCCAGCCTGGGTGACAGAGTGAGACTCTGTCTCAAAAAAAGGAAGACATACAAATGGCCAACAAACATGAAAAAATGCTCATCATCACGAATCATCAGAGAAATACAAGTCAGTATCACAATGAGATATCATCTCACACCAGTCAGAATGGCTTTTGTTAAAAAGTCAATAATGTTTGTGGGATTTTGAAGAAAAGGGAATGCTTATACACTGTTGGTGGGAATGTAAATCAGTTCAGCCACTGTAGAGAGCAGTTTGGAGATTTCCCAAAGATCTAAGAGTTGAACTAACATCCAACCCAGCAATTCCATTACTGGGTACATACCCGGAGGAAAATAAATCATTCTGCCAAAAAGGCACGTCCATATGTATATACATTGTAGCACTATTCTCAATAGCAAAGACATGGAACCAACCCAGGTGCCCGTCAACAGTGGACTGAATAAAGAAAATGTAATACATATATACCATGGAATACTATGCAGCCATAAAGAAATCATGTCCTTTGCAGCAACATGGATGTAGCTGGAAGCCATTATCCTAAGCAAACTAACGCAGAAACAGAAAACCAAATACCATATGTTCTCATTTATAAGTAGGAGCAAAACATCAGGTACACATGGACATAAAGATGGGAACAGTAAATACTGTGGAATACAAGGCAGGAGAGGGAAGGAGTGAGGCAAGGGTTGAAAACTTCCTATTGGGCATTATGCTCACTTCCAGGGTGACAGTTTCAATTGTACTTCAGACCCCAGCATCATGTAATATACCTTTTTTTTTTTTTTTTTTTGAGATAGAGTCTCACTTTGTCGTCCAGGCTTGAGTGCAGTGTTGCGATCTTGGCTCACTGCAACCTCTGCCTGCTGGGTTCAAGCGATTCTCCTCCCTCAGCCTACCAAGTAGCTGGGATTACAGGCACCCACCACCACACCCAACTAATTTTTGTGCTTGTACTTTTAGTAGAGATGGGGTTGCACCATGTTGGCCAGGCTGGTCTCGAACTCCTGACCTCAAGCAAGTGATCCACTCGCCTCGGCCTCCCAAAGTGCTGGTATGAGAGGCGTGAGCCATTGTGCCTGGCCAAACTGTAAACTCTTTTTTTTTTTTTTTTTTTTTTTTTGTGAGACAGAGTCTCACTCTGTCGCCCATGCTGGAGTGCAGTGGCACCATCTCGGCTCACTGCAACCTCCACTTCCTGGGTTCAAGCGATTGTTCTGCCTCAGCTTCCCAAGTAGCTGGGACTACAGGCGCACGCCAGCACGCCCAGCCAATTTTTGTATTTTTAGTAGAGACGGGGTTTCACCATATTGGCCAGGCTGGTCTCAAACTCCTGACCTCATGTTCTACCTGTCTCGGCCTCCCAAAGTGCTGGGATTTCAGGCGTAAGCCACCGTGCCCAGCCCATGCAGTATACCTTTTTAACAAACCTGCACATGTACCCTCAGAATCTAAAATAAAAATTGAAAAGACAAACACAATGGGAATCAACCCCTCAAACTCTACCATTGCTTTATCAGCTAAGTATATGGAATATTCTAAATCCTTTGTTGTTATTTCAACAGTGTTCATAGCGCCTTCACCAGGAGTAGAATCCATCTCAAAAATAACACTTTTTTCTTGTCCAGAAGTACCAACTCCGTATCAATTAAAGTTTTCTCATGAGATGGCAGCAATTAGTCACATCTTCAGGCTCCACTTCTAATTCTAGTTCTCTTGCTCTTTCTATCACATCTGCAGTTACTTCCTCCACCAGAGTCTTGAATTCCATGAGGATTGGAATCAACTTCTCCCAAACTCCTGTTAATATTGATATTTTGACCTCCTCTCGTGAATCATGAATATTCTTATGGCAGCTAGAATAGTAAATCTTCCCAGGTTTTCAATTTACTTTGCCCATATCCATCAGAGGAATCACTATCTATAGCAGCAATAGTGTTAAGACATGTATTCTTAAATAATATGACTTGAAAATTGAAATTACTCCTGATCCATGGGCTACAGAATGGATGTTGTGTTAGCAGGCATGAAAACAGTAATCTCCTTGTACATCCTCATCAAAGGTCTTGGGTGACCAGGTGCACTGTCAGTGAGCAGTAATATTTTGAAAGGATTGTTTTTTCTGAGCAGTAGGTTTCCATATAGTGGGCTTAAAATATTCGGAAAACCATGTTGTTTACAGATGTGCTATCATCCAGGCTTTGTTGTTCTGTTTATAGAGCACAAGCAGAGTAGATTTAGCATAATTCTTAAGGGCCCTAGGATTTTGGAATGATAAGTGAGTATTGGCTTCAACTTACAGTCATCAACTGCATTAGCCCCTAACGGAGAGTCAGCCTGTCGTTTGAAGCTTTGGAGCTAGGCATTGACTTCTCTCTAGCCATGAAAGTCCTAGACAATATCTTCTTCCAATAGAAGGCAGTGTCATCTACATTGAAAATCTGTTGTTTAGTGTAGCCACCTTCATCACTTAGCTAGATCTTCTGGATAACTTGCTGCAGTTTCAACTTCAAGAATTGCTGTTTCACTTTGCACTGTTATGGAGAAGGCTTCTTTTCTGAAATCTCATGAACTAACCTCTGCTAACTTCCAGCTTTTTTTCTGAAGCTTCTTCATCTCTCTTGGCATTTAAAATTTTTAATTATATAGATATTTTTACTTCAGAATCAAATGTAATTAGACCCTTTGAAAAGAAAATACCTATGCCAGTAAACAGAGCCTCTAGACGAGGAAAGTAAAATGGATTTCACTTATATTCCTTCAGTTGCTCATTGTCATGTCACATTTTTAATTTATTTATTGTTTTTATGTTTGGCCTTTCATTTTCATTTGCTTATTCTCTCCCCAACATTTCTAATTTCGTTTTCATTTTCTGTTAGAGAGAGGATATGTTTATAGAGAGATTGTCTATCTATCTATCTGTCTATCTAAGATGTTACCAGTTTCTTATTTTTACACATTCTTTTTATTGAAGTCCCTTTTTATGTTGCTGAATTGTATATTAATGTAAAAAAGGTTTGTAGTAGGCCATGCACAGTGGCTCATACCTGTAGTCTCAGCACTTTGGGAGGCCAAGGCAGGAGGATCACTTGAGGCCAGGAGTTAAGTGACCAGCATGGGCAATATAGCAAGACACCATCTCTACAAAAAAATAGGAAAACAGTTAGCTGGGCATGGTGGTGCACACATGTAGTCCTAGCTCCTCAGGAGCCTGAGGCAGGAGGATCACTTGAGCCCAGGAGTTCAAGAAGGCTGCAGTGAGCTGTGTTTGCACCACTGTACTCCAGCCTGGGCAACAAAGCAAGACTCTGTCTCAAAAAAAGTAAGGAAGGAGGGAGAGAAGGGGGCAGGAGGAGGAAGGCAGGAAGATTGGTATGAATTCTTCCAAAGTATAATTTACATATAATTTTATCAATTTCATATACAATTCAGTGAGTTTGAGTAAATGTTCACAGTTTTATAACCACCACCATAATCATAACATAGAATATTTCCATCCCTTGAGAAATGTGCCTACATGCAGTCTGTCTCCCTACCACCACTTGACCCCTGGCAACCTCCAGTCTGCATCCGTATCTTTAGCATATACCTCAAAACTCTTCTAGCTCTCTACCCATTACCCAATTCCAAAGACACTTCCACACATTTAGGTATTTCTTGCAGCAGCACCCTACTTCTCGGTATCAAAATCTGTGTTAGTCAGCTCAGGCTGCCATAACAAAATACTATAAACTAGGTGGTTTAAACAACAGAAATTTACTATCTCACAGTTTTGGAGACTAGGAAGTCCAAGATCAAGGTTTCAACCAAGTCATTTCCTGGTGAGGGCTCTCTTCCTGGCTTGTAGACTGCTGCTTTCTCACTGTGTGTTCACATGACCCCTTCTTTTCACAGATAAAGAAAGAGCTCTTTCTGGTGTCTCTTCTTATAAGGTAATTAATTAATATAATTAATTACCTTTATTATCTCATTTAAACTTAGTTATTTTCAAACAACCCTTTCTCCAAATACCATCTCATTAGGGGATAGGACTTCAATGTATGGACCTGAGGAGGACACAAACATTGAGTATTTATCTCTTTTAAACTTAGTTATTTTCAAACACCCCTTTCTCCAACTACCATCTCATTAGGGGATAGGACTTCAATGTACGGACCTGAGGAGGACACAAACATTGACTATCTCATTTAAACTTAGATATTTTCAAACACCCCTTTCTCCAAATACCATCTCATTAGGGGATAGGACTTCAATGTATGGACCTGAGGAGGACACTAACATTGAGTATATAACAGTTGTTATGGATGAAAAGATGGCTAAGACATAGTCGTTGCCCTTAATGATCTCATAGAGGAATAGTTGAAATTTGAGGAGAGCTCATCTAAATAAACACAAATGAGGTATTTTTTGTATAGACTGTTTTGAAAAGTTGAGACTTCTAAAATCTTATTCTAGAAATAATGCTGAGAATGCTAGTAACATAAGAAGTCATGTGCTTTTTCAGCAGTCTGAGATCGAACTGCAAGGCAGCAGCGAGGCTGGGGGAGGGACGTCCACCATTGCTGAGGCTTGAGTAGGTAAACAAAGCCTCCAGGAAGCTTGAGCTGAGTGGAGCCCACCCCAGCTAAGGAAACCTGCCTGCCTCTCTAGACTCCACCTCTGGGGGCAGGGCATAATGGAACAAAAGGCAGCAGAAACTTCTGCAGACTTAAACCTCCCTGTCTGACAGCTTTGAGAGAGTAGTCGTTCTCCCAGCATAGAGTTTGAGATCTGAGAACAGACAGACTGCCTCCTCAACTGGGTCCCTGACCCCTGAGTAACCTAACTGGGACACACCTCCCAGTAGGGGCTGACTGACACCTCATACAGCTGGGTGCCCCTCTGAGACGAAGGTTCCAGAGGAAGGATCAGACAGCAACATCTGCCGTTCTGCAATATTTGCTGTTCTACAGCCTCCACTGGTGATACTCAGGCAAACAGGGTCTGGAGTGGACCTCCGGCAAACTCCAACAGACCTGCAGCTGAGGATCCTGACTGTTAGAAGGAAAACTAACAAACAGAAAGGACATCCACACCAAAACCCCATGTACGTCACCATCATCAAAGACCAAAGGTAGATAAAACCACAAATATCTGGAGAAACCAGAGCAGAAAAGGTGAAAATCCTAAAAATCAGAGCACCTCTTCTCCTCCAAAGGAATGCAGCTCCTCGCCAGCAACAGAACAAAGCTGGACGGAGAATGACTTTGACAAGTTGAGAGAAGAAGGCTTCAGACAATCGGTAATAATAAACTTCTCCAAGCTAAAGAAGGATATTCGAACCCATCACAAAGAAGCTAAAAACCTTGAAAAAAGATTAGACGAATGGCTAACTAGAATAAACAGTGTAGAGAAATCCTTAAATGACCTGATGGAACTGAAAACCATGGCACGAGAACTACGTGAAGCATGCATAAGCT